>NC_000022.11:11118987-11160921 GCF_000001405.40 Homo sapiens | reverse complement strand
GATCATGCCACAGCACTCCAACCTGGGCGACAGACTGAGACTCTGTCTCAAAAAAATAAAAATAAGGCCAGGTGCCGTGGCTCACGCCTGTAATCCCAGCACTTTGGGAGGCCAAGGTGGGCAGATCACTTGAGGTCAAGGAGTTTGGGACCAGCCTGGGCAACACAGTGAAACCTCCTCTCTACTAAAAATACATAAATTAGCTGGGCGTGGTGGCACACACTTGTAATGCCAGCTACACCAGAGGCTGAGGCAGGGGAATCGCTTGAATTCGGGAGGTGGAGGTTGTAGTGACCTGAGATTGTGCTACTGCACTCCAGCCTGGATGACAGAGTGAGACTCCATCTCAAAAAAAAAAAGAAAAAAAAGAAAACTTATATTTAAAGTTTAAAAAAATCACAAAGACTACAAATACTCAGGTTTAAGCAAATTCCCACCTTTCTTGAATTAACAGTGATTCATATTTGCTTTGTCAAAAATGTAGATATTTACCTGCCCCAACGGAATGAAATCCTAAAAGCCTAGTGTTCTCAAATGATGAAGAGAAAGAAACATGCATATTTTAATTTAGAATTTTGATTCAGAATTAATTTTAACCTAGCTGGAGTATACATAATCATTTATGTATTTATTTAATTATTTAAGAGACTGGGTTTCTCTGTGTTATCCAGGCTGGAATGCAGTGGCACAACCTTGGCTCACTGCAACTTGTACTTCCTGAGCTCAAGTGATCCTCCCACCTCAGCCTCCAGAGTAGCTGGGACTGCAAATGCATGCTACCACACCCAGCTAATTTTTGCGGAGACGAGCCTCACTATGTTTCCCACACTGGCCTCTAACTCCTTGGCTCACTATAGCCTCAAGCCCCTGGGCTCAAGCAATCTGCCTCCCAAAGTGCTGAGATTACAGGAGTGAGCCACCGCAACCGGCCTAGTGGATAGTGTATACTAAGCAACATATACCCTGCTTTTGCCTAGAACATACTGAAAACATGGCATTAAAAACAATCACAAAAGTTGGGAGCTGAGAAAAATCATATACTGTAAAACAAATCTGACAGATATTAATCTCAAGAAGCTCCTGAAAATGTCTCAAGAACTCCTATGCTGCACTATCCCTAATAATTTAGACTTTCTACAGATATTTTCTGATCATCTACGGTGTGCCAGGCACCATGCCAGGTACCAAGATGCCATGGTGAGGTATACACAAAACCGGCTCCTGCTTGCAGGAAGCCTACTCTCTAAAACAGTGCTTGCCAAGCTCGACGGATCACAACTTGGGAGCCTAAGTTCCAAATCCGCTTCCCTGCTTTGGTGAGCCACAATCCGTGGCATTTTTATCACGTGCTCCCAATGATTCCTACGCTCTAACGGGTTTGGGAGGCAAGGGTGGGGGTAAGCTGGAGAGCCCAGAGCCATCCCGTCCAGCGGGAGCCCCACCTCTAAAGTCCATGTCGCTCAGCATCCTTCCCCCTGACTAGTGGCCCAAACACAGCACGAAGCTGAGGTGGGTGGAACGCTTTCCAAAACAGCGCTCTGTGATGAGCCACCGACAGATTTGCTCGCCTCCGGGGACGAAGAGCTCACTCCTCACAAACCCCACCCGGCAAAGGTAGCACCTGAGCCTCCCAGGCTGCGCCGACACCTGTCTCCCCGCGGGTGCCGCCTACTGCTCCGGTGGACTCCAGTCCCCAGGTTCCGCCCCACGGGGACTGGGGGGAGGGGGGAGGCGCCGCATGCATTAGGCGCCGACTGTATACCGACCCCCCCTCCGGTGTGCGCAGGCCAACACCCATACACACCCTCACACACCCACACACACTCCCGTGGAAACTGAGGCAGGCAGGCTGCGGACCAGTTCCCGCCTCCTGACGGCTGGCGGCTGGGATCGAACCCGGACTGCGAGACGCCTTACGCCTCACAGGCGCTCCTCAGCCGCTGAGGCCTGGCCCGGCTCCCACCGCCGGAGTTTCACAAAGAAAGTCTCCCGGCCCGAGCCCCTCACCCACTCACCTGCGCCGACGCTGGCGGCGACTCGGGCTCCCGCCGCCTTCGGCTCCTTGCGGGGGTCGGCCCTTGGGTCGGCTCGGGCGCCGGGGGCGGCGACTGCTCCATATCCACGGGGTCCGGGCCGCGTCCACCTGGAGCTAAGGGTCCCGCCAGCTAGGCGCGCGCGCCAGTTTCGCGCGCCATGTTCCCGCCGTGCTGCGCGCCGCCGCGGCGACCCTCACTGCCCCCCAACCGCGCGCGCCACCCCTCCCCGCGCGGCCCGCCTCGCGCCCTCTGGAGCTGGCCGCTGTTCCCAGTGTCTCGCCCACCCCCGCCGGGCCCGTCCGACTTGGAGGGTGAGCGCGTGGTTCCCGGCTCCGCACCGCCGCCTGCCTCTCTGCAGACCATCCCGCACCCGACCCCTCGGCCACTTCCCCACACTGCCCCTTTCGCTTCCCCCACGACGCGGGGCCTAGGACGAGGGTCTGGGCCAAGAGGAACTTCCCTGCAAGAAGTGCGGAGCTAAGGACGCTACTAAGGGGGCGGGATCGCCACCATGGAGGTGTGCAAGCACGTGCCTGCGTCCCGGAGACAGCCAGACTCAACGGAGAAGCTGAGTTCAAGCCCCACATCTCCACTAACCCTTGCGTGTTAGGGTCAGGGCTTCGGGACTTGTTTCTCCTAAATTTTTTTTTTTTTTTTTGAGACAGTCTCGCTCTGTCACCCAGGCTGGAGTGCTGTGGTGCGATCTCGGCTCACTGCAAGCTCCGCCTCCCCGATTCATGCCATTCTCCTGCCTCAGCTTCCCGAGCAGCTGAGACTACAGGCGCCCGCCACCGCCTGCTAATTTTTGTATTTTTAGTAGAGGTGGGGTTTCACCGTGTTAGCCAGAATGGTCTCCATCTCCTGACCTTGTGATCTTCCTACCTCGGCCTCCCAAAGTGCTGAGATTACAGGCGTGAGCCAGCGCGCTCGGCCTGTTTCTCCTAAATCTAAAGACTCAATATGATAATCAAGAGAACGTCTCAGCACCGCGCCTAGCGCTTAGTAGGTAGTGATCAAGAGAGAAGACCTCTTAAGTGGTTTTAATGGTTAAGGACCACAGGTTCTCAAGAAAGGGAAATCTCAATTCAAGTCCCGCCTCCATCTTTTGGAAACTGAGAAACCTTGAACAAGTCACTCAGAGGAGCCAAAGATCCTTGATTTCTACATGTGCGAAAGGGGAGTGTGGCAGTAGCACTGCACAGGGTTGACTGAGCTTTCAGGGAGATGAGGACTGTATGATCATGCCTCTCTTAATCACGGGATGGTTCTGAGAAATGACTCCTTAGGTGATTGCAGCATTGTGCAAACAGCAGAGTGCATTTACACAAACCTTGTATAGCCTTGTATAGCCTACTAAACACCTAGGCTGTATGGCGTAGCCTATTGCTCCTAGGCTACACACCTGTACAGCCTGATACTTTACTGAATATACCATAAGCAGTTGTAACACAATGTAAGTACTTGTGTACCTGAACATAGAGAAGGTACAGTAAGAATGGAGTATGAGAGATTTTAAAATGGTACTCCTGTATAGGGCACTTACCATGAAAGGAGCTTGCAGGACTGGAAGATGCTGTGGTGAGTCAGTGAGTGTGAAGGCATAGGACCTTACTGTACACTACTGTAGACTTTATAAACACCATATGCTTAGGCTACACCAAAAATTTTTAAAGCTTTTCTTCAATAAATTAACCTTAGCTTACTGAAATGTATCTTAAAAAATATTGCCAGTCGTGGTGTCTCACACCTGTAATCCCAGCACTTTGGGAGGCCGAGGCAGGCAGATCATTTGAGGTCAGGAGTTCGAGACCATCCTGGCCAACATGGTGAAACCCTCATCTCTACTAAAAATACAAAACTTAGCCAGGCATGGTGGTGTGCACCTGTAATCCCAGCTACTCAGGAGACTGACGGAGGAGAATTGCTTGAACCCAGGAGGCGGAGGTTGCAGTGAGCCGAGATCATGCCACTGCACTCCAGCCTGGGCAATTACACGCATGGAGCTGTCATCTCCTCTGATAACAATGCCTTCTTCTTCCAGAATACTTCCTGAAGGACCTGCCTGAGGCTGTTTTATAGTTAACTACTTTTTAATGTAAGTAGAAGACATACATTCTAAAATTATGAAAAACACTAAATACACCAGGGCTGGGCACAGTGTCTCATGTGGGTAATCCCAGCACTTCGGGAGGCTGAGGAGGGCAGATCATTTGAGGTCAGGAGTTTGAGACCAGCCTGGGCAGTGTGGTGAAACCCCATCTCTGCTAAAAATACAAAGATTAGCTGGCCTTGGTGGTGAGTGCCTGTATTCCCTGCTACTCAGGAGGCTGAGGCAGAAGAATCGCTTCAACCTGTGAGGCAGAAGTTGCAGTGAGCCAAGATCACGCCACTGCACTCCAGCCTGTGCGACAGAGCAAGACTCTGTCTCAAAAAAATAAATCAGTAACATAGTTGTTCATTATCAAGTATTATATATTGTACGTAATTGTACATGCTATGCTTTTATAGAACTGGCAGCACAGATTTGTTTACACCAGCATCACCAGAAACACAGAAATGCATTACCCTAACATTACAATGGCTATGTCACTAAGCAATAGGAATTTTTCAGCTCCATAATCATCTTATGGTACCACTGACTTACGTGTGGTTTGTCATTGACTAAAATGTCATTATACAACACATGACTGCATATCCCAGGGCCCAATGCCTGGCACACACAAAGCTGAGTTTCACTGGTGTAATTCCCACCCTATCCATCCAAGACTCCTAAAAGTTTAATGAAAGGGGCTCTGCTCCCCAAACCCTGTGGTATAAGTAGCTGGGAGGAGTTCGCCCAACTTGGGGCTGCAAGTACTCTTTCTTCCCACATCTTTGCTTTCCTTTCTCTCCCCCAAACTTCTCTGAAAACCCTAAAGTTGGCAGAAAAATGGAGAATGTTTTCCCTACTAACAAAAAGAATCTTCAAGAGTCTCTTGGAATTTGTAAATGGTTGCATTTACTAGTCTGTTTTTTTTATGGTTAATTTAATTTAATTTTATTATTTTATTATTATTATACTTTAAGTTTTAGGGTACATGTGCACATTGTGCAGGTTAGTTACATATGTATACATGTGCCATGCTGGTGCGCTGCACCCACTAACTCGTCATCTAGCATTAGGTATATCTCCCAGTGCTATCCCTCCCCCCTCCCCCCACCCCACAACAGTCCCCAGAGTGTGATGTTCCCCTTCCTGTGTCCATGTGATCTCATTGTTCAATTCCCACCTATGAGTGAGAATATGCGGTGTTTGGTTTTTTGTTCTTGTGATAGTTTACTGAGAATGATGATTTCCAATTTCATCCATGTCCCTAAAAAGGACGTGAACTCATCATTTTTTATGGCTGCATAGTATTCCATGGTGTATATGTGCCACATTTTCTTAATCCAGTCTATCATTGTTGGACATTTGGGTTGGTTCCAAGCCTTTGCTATTGTGAATAATGCCGCAATAAACATATGTGTGCATGTGTCTTTATAGCAGCATGATTTATAGTCCTTTGGGTATATACCCAGTAATGGGATGGCTGGGTCAAATGGTATTTCCAGTTCTAGATCCCTGAGGAATCGCCACGCTGACTTCCACAATGGTTGAACTAGTTTACAGTCCCACCAACAGTGTAAAAGTGTTCCTATTTCTCCACATCCTCTCCAGCACCTGTTGTTTCCTGACTTTTTAATGATTGCCATTCTAACTGGTGTGAGATGGTATCTCATTGTGGTTTCGATTTGCATTTCTCTGATGGCCAGTGATGATGAGCATTTTTTTATGTGTTTTTTTGGCTGCATAAATGTCTTCTTTTGAGAAGTGTCTGTTCATGTCCTTTGCCCACTTTTTGATGGGGTTGTTTGTTTTTTTCTTGTAAATTTGTTGGAGTTCATTGTAGATTCTGGATATTAGCCCTTTGTCAGATGAGTAGGTTGTGAAAATTTTCTCCCATGTTGTAGGTTGCCTGTTCGCTCTGATGGTAGTTTCTTTTGCTGTGCAGAAGCTCTTTAGTTTAATTAGATCCCATTTGTCAATTTTGGCTTTTGTTGCCATTGCTTTTGGTGTTTTAGACATGAAGTCCTTGCCCATGCCTATGTCCTGAATGGTAATGCTTAGGTTTTCTTCTAGGGTTTTTATGGTTTTAGGTCTAACGTTTAAGTCTTTAATCCATCTTGTATTGATTTTTGTATAAGGTGTAAGGAAGGGATCCAGTTTCAGCTTTCTACATATGGGTATCCTGTTTTCCCAGCACCATTTATTAAATAGGGAATCCTTTCCCCATTGCTTGTTTTTGTCAGGTTTGTCAAAGATCAGATAGTTGTAGATATGTGGTGTTATTTCTGAGGGCTCTGTTCTGTTCCATTGATTTATATCTCTGTTTTGGTACCAGTACCATGCTGTTTTGGTTACTGTAGCCTTGTAGTATAGTTTGAAGTCAGGTAGTGTGATACCTCCAGCTTTGTTCTTTTGGCTTAGGATTGACTTGGCGATGCGGGCTCTTTTTTGGTTCCATATGAACTTTAAAGTAGTTTTTTCCAATTCTGTGAAGAAAGTCATTGGTAGCTTGATGGGGCTGGCATTGAATCTATAAATTACCTTGGGCAGTATGGCCATTTTCACGATATTGATTCTTCCTACCCATGAGCATGGAATGTTCTTCCATTTGTTTGTATCCTATTTTATTTCCTTGAGCAGTGGATTGTAGTTCTCCTTGAAGAGGTCCTTCACATCCCTTGTAAGTTGTATTCCTAGGTATTTTATTCTCTTTGAAGCAATTGGGAATGGGAGTTCACTCATGATTTGGCTCTCTGTTTGTCTGTTGTTGGTGTATAAGAATGCCTGTGATTTTTGCACATTGATTTTGTATCCTGAGACTTTGCTGAAGTTGCTTATCAGCTTAAGGAGATTTTGGGCTGAGATGATGGGGTTTTCTAGATATACAATCATGTCATCTGCAAACAGGGACAATTTGACTTCCTCTTTTCCTAATTGAATGCCCTTTATTTCCTTCTCCTGCCTAATTGCCCTGGCCAGAACTTTCAACACTATGTTGAATAGGAGTGGTGAGAGAGGGCATTATTATTTTGAAATACGTCCCATCAATACCTACTTTATTGAGAGTTTTTAGCATGAAGGGTTGTTGAATTTTGTCAAAGGCCTTTTCTGCATCTATTGAGATAATCATGTGGTTTCTGTCTTTGGTTCTGTTTATATGCTAGATTACATTTATTGATTTGTGTATGTTGAACCAGCCTTGCATCCCAGGGATGAAGCCCACTTGATCATGGTGGATAAGCTTTTTGATGTGCTGCTGGATTCGTTTTGCCAGTATTTTATTGAGGATTTTTGCATCAATGTTCATCAAGGATATTGGTCTAAAATTCTCTTTTTTGGTTGTGTCTCTGCCTGGCTTTGGTATCAGAATGATGCTGGCCTCATAAAATGAGTTAGGGAGGATTCCCTCTTTTTCTATTGATTGGAATAGTTTCAGAAGGAATGGTACCAGTTCCTCCTTGTACCTCTGGTAGAATTCGGCTGTGAATCCATCTGGTCCTGGACTGTTTTTGGTTGGTAACCTATTGATTATTGCCACAATTTCAGAGCCTGATATTGGTCTATTCAGAGATTTAACTTCTTCCTGGTTTAGTCTTGGGAGGGTGTATGTGTTGAGGAATTTATCCATTTCTTCTAGATTTTCTAGTTTATTTGCGTAGAGGTGTTTGTGTATTCTCTGATGGTAGTTTGTATTTCTGTGGGATCAGTGGTGATATCCCCTTTATCATTTTTTATTGCTTCTGTTTGATTCTTCTCTCTGTTTTTCTTTGTTAGTCTTGCTAGCGGTCTATCTATTTTGTTGATCCTTTCAAAAAACCAGCTCCTGGATTCATTAATTTTTTGAAGGGTTTTTTGTGTCTCTATTTCCTTCAGTTCTGCTCTGATTTTAGTTATTTCTTGCCTTCTGCTAGCTTTTGAACGTGTTTGCTCTTGCTTTTCTAGTTCTTTTAATTGTGATGTTAGGGTGTCAGTTTTGGATTTTTTTTTTTTTTGAGATGGAGTCTTGCTCTGTCACCTAGGCTGGAGTGCAGTGGCACGATCTCAGCTCACTGCAACCTCCGCCTCCCAGATGCAAGCGATTCTCCTGTCTCAGCCTCCTGAGTAGCTGGGATTAAAGGCATGCACCACCACGCACGGCTATTTTTTTTGTATTTTTAGTACAGACGGGATTTCACCATGTTGGTCAGGCTGATCTCAAACTCCTGACCTCATGATCCACCCGCCTTGGCCTCCCAAAGTACTGGGATTACAGGCGTGAGCCACCGCACCCAGCCTTCTAGTTTGTTATTTTTCTTATTCAAGTAACAAGGAAAAAAAGTAACTCCACCAAGAGTAAAACAGAAAAAAGGAACAAAACTGATAGCATGACTGAAAAGGCCTGGGGTGGTACCTCACTTCAGGCATAGCTGGATACAGGCACTTATACAAGATAAGTCTCTCTAATCTCTCAGTGCTTGCTTCCCTTTGATTACTTCATTCTCACGCGGTTCTTTCCTCATGGTGGCCTAAGCAGCTCCTAACTCACATCTGCGCAAGAAAGCAGAGGCTGTTCCCCATTAGTTCCAGCCAAAGTCCCAGGACTGACTTTCACTGGATCCGTTTGCGCCACATTCCCCTGCCTGAGCCAATCACCACATCCAGCCTGGCCAGACCTGGCTTTCATGAAGCCCCTTCAGGAAGCGGTTGGGGTCATCTCCTCCAGAAGGACATGGGGAAAACCAGAAAGTGGGAGGAGGGATGCTTCCTTCTGAAAAATAGGGATGCAATTACCACAAGAGGTATCAGGTACAGGGCTGGCACAAACAAGAGCTATCCATGGCACCATCATGTAGGCATGCAGCAGGTCCACCATGAAGCAACCTGGCTGCTCCGCAAAACGGAGTCACAGTTAGTTCAGTCAATGAGAAATATCCCTCTACTTGGGTTCCCACCATTCACCCCAGGCCTGGCACACCCCAAATTTGCTTGGTCAAAGGCAAGCAAATTACCCACCTTTTATGCTTCACAAAAAGCTGAAAAGATTATCTTACTTCTCTGGCTCAAGAACTTTCTATGACTCCCTCTGGCTACTTATGTGTCTCCCCCAGCCTTAATGATAGAAGCCAACATTCATGAATCCCTTACCACATGCCAGGTACCTTATGGACCTTCCTCCTCCAAACAGCATAGAAGAGGTTGGTACTCTTACCGCACCCATTTTATAAATATGGAAACAAAGGCTCAGCAATTTGAGGTAATTTACCCAGAGCCAAAGTTAGGAAGTGCAGAGTTCAGATTAGCACAATATTGTTCCCGCCATTGCCATCCCAGCTCCATTTGTTCATGTTTCAAAGTCCTACACTCACCTCTAGCTAGGGGCCAGTGGGAACAGCTCCATGGCAGAAGACGCCTCTAGGAACCCCTTCAGCTTCTGCAGTGGTGGGGCTGGGGAGTAGGTACAAAAGATACTTAGCTTTACCATCCTCTCCCATAACTTTTTTTTTTTTTGAGATGGATTCTCAGTCTGTCACCCAAGCTGGAGTGCAGTGGTGCGATCTCAGCTCACTGCAACCTCTGCCTCCTGGGTTCAAGCAATTCTCATGCCACAGCCTCTGGAGTAGCTGGGATTACAGGTGCCCACCACCACACCTGGCTAATTTTTGTATTTTTAGTAAAGATGGGGTTTCACTATGTTTGCCAGGCTAGTCTCAAACTCCAGACCTCAAGTGATCCACCCGCCTCAGCCTCCCAAAGTGCTGGGATTGCTAAGCCACCATGCCTGGCCCCATCTCCCATAACTTAATGGGATAGGGAAAAGAATTCCTCTAAGATAAAATTAAAGTGATGTTAGGAAAGGAAGTAGGTGTTTGGTAGCCTTCAATCAGCAGCTGATTTCTCCCATTGGTGAGTCAATTAGTTTTCTATGGCTGCTGTAACAAATTACCATGAACTGATTGGCTTACAACAATACAGACTTAATATCTTATTGTTCTATAGGTCAGAAGCCTCAAATCAGTTTCACTTGGCTAAAGTCTAGTTGTAAAGGACTGATTCCTTCAGGAGGTTCTGAAGGGAAAACCCGTTTTCTTGCCTTTTTCTGCTTTTAGTGGTTACCTATATACCCTGGATTGTGGCCCTTTCCTCCATTTTTAAAGCACACCACTCCAATCTCTGCACAGTGCTATGGTTTGAATGTGTCCCCCAAAGTTCATGTGTTGGAAATTTAATCTCCAATGCAACAGTGTTGAGAGATGGGACCTTTAAGAGGAGATTAGGTCATGAAAGATCTGCCCTCATTAATAGAGTAATGATGTTATCTCAGCAGAGGGTTAATTATCATGGGGATGGGTTCCTAATAAAAGGATTGAGTTCAGCCCCCTTTCTCTCTTGATGTGATACCTTCCATCATGGGATGACACAGCAAGAAGACCCTCACCAGAAGCAGACCCCTTGATCTTGACATTCCCAGCCTCCAGAACTGTAAGAAATAAACCTGTTCTTTATAAATTACCCAGCCTCAGATATTGCATAGCAATACAAAAAAGACTAAGACACTCAGTCATCATCGCATTGCCATCTCCCCTGACTGCTGAGTCCCTCTTAAAAGAGCACTGTAGGCTGGATGTGGTGGCTCACGCCTGTAATCCCAGCACTTTGGGAGGCCAAGGTGGGCAGATCACGAGGTCAGGAGTTCGAGACTAGCCTGGCCAACATGATGAAAGCCCATCTTTACTGGAAAAACAAAAATTAGCTGGGCATGTTGGCGAGCACCTGTAATCCAGCTACTCGGAAGGCTGAGGCAAGAGAATCGCTTGAACCTTGGGAGATGGAGTTGCAGCGAGCCGAGATTGCGTCATTGTACTCCAGCCTGGGCACCAAGAGCAAAAAACTCCTTCTCAAAAAAAAAAAAAAAAAAAAAAAAAAGCACTGTGATGGGACACTGGGCCCACAGGCAACATAGGATAAGTTCCCATCTCAAGATGCTTAATCACATCTGCAAAGTCCCTTTTGTCATGGAAAGGAACATAGTCACAGATTCCGGGGATTAAGTTGAGGACACTTTGGAGGGGCCATTATTCAGCCTGCCATATAAGATATCATGAGAGGGAGTTAATACAAAATGCTCTGGAAACAGAGAAGGGTGGCCAGGCAAGGTAGCTCATGCCTCTAATCCCAGTACTTTGGGAGGGAGGCGGGCGGATTGCCTGAGGTCAGGGGTTCAAGACCAGCCTGACCAACATGGTGAAACCCCATCTCTACTAAAAATACAAAAATTAGCTGGGCATGATGGCAGGTGCCTGTAATCCCAGCTACTCAGGAGGCTGAGTCAGGAGAATCGCTTGAACCCAGGAGGCGGAGGTTGCAGTGAGCTGAGATCACACCATTGCACTCCAGCCTGGGCGACAAGCGTGAGACTTCATCTCGATTAAAAAAAAAAAAAAGAAACAGAGAAAAGCTGGCTAACTCTCCACAGTGGGAAAAATGTCCCAGGAAACCACAGCCTCCACATTAAATATTCAAATGAGCTAAAACCCATCTAATTGGCAGTCTCAGTCTTATTCCTTTAAACATGCAAACCACCTAAGTTCCCAACAAACCCCCTACACCAGGCCAGCCAAGTCTCAGAATGCTTATATACCCTTTAATAGAAATTTCCAACCACCATCCCCATTTCCTAAGGAAATGGCTGTGTGCCCTTGAGCCTGCCTTGACTGAATCGCCAGTGGCCTTTGAACCACAGCACTCAATTTATGGCATGGCCAGTGAGCTACAAACTGTCCTAGCATCAACCAAGCAAAGTTATAAAAGCAGATTCAGTGGACAATAAGGAACATTAGTTTTAGAGTCAAAAAGACCTGGGTTGGGTCCCAGCTCTGCCATTTACCAGCTGTGCGACATCAGAAAAGTTACCTTTGTCCTCCAACTTTGGTTTCCTCACCTGTGACATGACAGTGGCTAGAGGACCTCATTCATAGAATCACTGTGAGGACAAGAGCAGCCAAGGGTAAGTCTTTGCACAGGGCCTCCCCAGTCATTATTGGGTCAACAAGACATAACCATGCCTTATCTCCACTTCCAAAACCCAAACAGCTCTCAAAAATGAGTCACTGTAGCTCATTTGGAAGAAAAGACTGATATGAATCAATATGCAACTACCTATAATCTTTCTCTATCCCTCTTACTGTGAATATTTGCTGTGGAAATATTAACATGTTTGGACTCCACTGGGGTAGGACTCCACATGTGTAGGACTCCACTGGGGTGCTACACATACACATAGTAGATATGCCTTACCACCTTCCTAAAATTGGGTAATTAAATTTCAGAACTTATCTAGCCCAAAGGTTTCAGAGACTGTAGACCTGTATCTTTATGAGGGCAAGGATGAGAATATAACCTGGCCTGTTATTATGCACCAATGTACCTGCTGTTCTCATGAAGATGTCAGCAGCCAGCCAGCCAGTCTCTACAAACTCCACCCCCAACCTCGCTATGCTCCTTTCCCTGGAACTTTCCAAGGGGCCCTTAGAATTTGTATTCAGCTCTCACAGGCTGAGACCAGGGTGACATCCTGGGAAACCTGCCTAGTGATAGCCAAGGAGTAGCTCCAGATGAAAGGCACACAACAACTTTAAATATAAAAAAGCCATTCAGGCTAGGCACAGTGGCTCACGTGTGTAATCCCAGCACTTTAAGAGACCGAGGCAGGCGGATCACCTGAGGTCAGAAGTTCAAGACCAGGCTGGCCAACATGGCAAAACCCTGTCTCTACAAAAAAATATAAAAATTAGCTTGGCATGGTGGCGCATACCTGTAATCCCAGCTACTTGGGAGGCTGAGGCACGAGAATCGCTTGAACCTGGGAAGCAGAGGTTGCAGTGAGCCAAGCTTGCACCACTACACTTCAGGCTGGGCAACAGAGTGAGACTCCGTCTCAAATAAATAAATAATAAAGCCATTCAACTAAAGAACCAATTATCAAGCAGAAGCACAAAGTCCAGGTTCCATCAGGTTTTTAATTGTACATCAGTGACTGTGAAAAAGCAATTATTCCCATAATTAAAATACAAACTATAAAAAACAGACTCAAAGAAAAGAAAGATGACAGAGTGAAATAAGGTACATTTCTTCCATGTTCAAACCACGGAGTTCACAACACAGCAGCACACACAGCCGGGCGCTTTGTGGTCTCGGCACCCTTGGCTTCCCCTTCATGAGGCCGCTTTCGACTAGTAGAAGGCTGAAAATAAAGGAAAATGGAGAAATGTTCAAAAGAAAATCACTGGCTTCTTTAAGATTATCAGAGTTCCTCAATGTACTTCCAGTAAAGTGGGGGCATTTGATGTGAAATACTAGTACCAAAAATTACTGGTTGTCATCATTGACAACTGAGTCCTCACCACAGCCCGCAACTCAGACATGCTTATCTAATAGATATTTCTCTCCCTATGGCTTCTGACCCCTGAATGATGTATACTGAAAGCAAGTAGCATAACCACCTTCCTCTTGATCATCCTCTTCTAAATATCAAGTTTAAAAGGACTACAATACCTCTCAATTGAAGCCCCAAGTCTTGGTCTTTTGCGGGAAGACAACCTTTGTGCCTTAGTTGTTTTCTCATATACAAAATTGGGAGGAAGGCTGGGTGCGGTGACTCACAGCTATAATCCCAGCACTTTGGGAAGCCGAGGTGGGCAGGTCGCTGCTTCAGGTCAAAAGTTTGAGACAAGACTGACCAACATGGCAAAACCCCATCTCACCTAAAAATACAAAAATTAACTGGGCACAGTGGTGGACACCTGTAGTCCCAGATACTTGGGAGACTGAGGCAGGAGAATTGCTTGAACCCAGGAGGCAGAGGTTGCAGTGAGCTGAGATTGCACCACTGCACTCTGGCCTGAGTGACAGACTAAGACTCTGTCTCAAGAAAAAAAAAAAAATCGGGGTGGGGAGGAAACAGTGGGAAAAAGGACAGCTACCATTCAACAACAACAACAAAAAAGCAGGACTGGAATTAACTTATACTCACAAAGAACTTTAAAGAATAAACTTGTAATCAAGGAATCAACTACTGACCCAAATTTTAATTTTTCCAACAAATTTATATTTGAGCCTCTAATAGAGTCTTTCGAAATTGCCTTGCAGGTGACCTTTTGGATGACAATCCCTAGCTGTGCTTATCTGTCTATTATGTGTTAGATATTAAACATATCCTGCATTTTTAAATCTAAGCGTCCTGGAGTGAATCAAGTTCAAACAGAGTTTCTACTACATTATAACTGAAACAATGTTAAGCAATTGCTACTCAGGAAAATCTTGAATTTCATCATCTTTTCTTATCAGCTCCTTAAGCCCGGACTACATTTAGTGATCATCAGGAATATGAATACCTGGGCTAGAACCTGAGATAGAGCTGTGGATTCATTTTCCTCAGACAGAAGATCTTGAAACTTTCTCTTCATGTCTTCATCCTGTGAGGGAATTAAAAACATAAGTAGCTGTGTCTGAAGGATAATAAACTCCTAGAATGACAGGGCTAGCATGCTCCTGTGGAAAGAGGGAGGAAAAGATGTCCGTCCAAGAATCATTTCCTTGATGAAGCTCCCACAGTGAAGGCATTATGTGTTGCCCCCCTCTACCTTCCCAGAGGAGTCCAATTAGCAGTCAATGCTCCATCAATCCTGGCTGACTCACATCCACATGCCTAAAAGCTCTCAGTGGGTCAATCACAGCCTCCAGCAGTCAAGAGTTTCTGAATTAGCATCCCAGATCCTGAGAAAGGTGACAATCAGGGGGCCAGGGGCTGGTCCTGACTCCGTGCAGATCCTCAAATCCTTCCGGGACCACTCTCCACCTGCTGCCCCTGCCATGAATGAGGCCAGTCACCCAGGCTGTCCTAACAACCAGCCCAGCACCCTAGGAAATTTCACCCAGCAGATGCCATACAAATTTTCAGAAGTACTTAAGCCCACGATATCCCAGAGCTCAGGTCTAATGAGAAAGGGAGACAATAAACAGAACAAAGCATTACAGGTGTTTCATGCTGCAGGAGCGGGAGATGAGGAGGGCACAGACAGTGTGTATACGAGTAGCTCCCACCTCTCTGGATGCTCACTTCTGCAGGGTTCAAGGATTTGCATTAGGAAACCCTGAGAGGTGGTCTGGTGCAGCTCTCCCCATCTTCAGCAAGGTGAAAGGAACATCTATAACTAGGAATGTGGCCTTTGAGTGTTGGGCAGAAGCCCAGCTCAGCCACTCACAGGTGGCATGTGCAGAATACAGACCCAGAGTTATCTGATTCCAATGCCTCATGTACTTTCCCACCCAACTCCAGCCCCTCCTCCCACTGAGCCAAGCATACCACAGTGGGGAAAGGGAGAGGATACAGCAAAGTCCTCCACCATTTGGCAATTTGATGGATATGGAAATTTTACAACACTAGGTTGGGCATGGTGGCTCATGCCTATAATCCCAGCACTTTGGGAGACCAAAGTGGGAGAATTGCTTGAGGCCAGGAATTTGAGACCAGCCTGGGCAATATAGTGGGACTTAGTCACTACAAAAAAAAATTAAAAATTAGGCCAGGCACGGAGGCTCACGCCTGTAATCCCAGCACTTTGGGAGGCCAAGGCGGGCAAATCACCTGAGGTCAGAAGTTTGAGATCAGCCTGGCTAACATGGTGAAACCCCGTCTCTACTAAAAATACAAAATTAGCCAGGCGTGGTAGTGCAAGCCTGTAATCCCAGCTACTCAGGAGGCTGAGGCAGGAGAATCACTTGAACTCAAGAGGTTGCAGTAAGCCAGGATCACACCACTGCTCTCCAGCCTGGGCAAAAGAGTACGACTCTGTCTCCAAAAAAAAAAAAAAAAAAAAAAAGTTTAAATTAGCCAGACATGGTGGCATGCACCTGTAGTCTCAGCTACTTGGGAGGCTGGGGCAGGAGGATCACTTGAGCCTGAAAGTCATGGTGCAGTGACCATGCCACTGCACTCCAGCCTAGGTGAGAGAGCAAGACCCTGAGGAAAAAAATGAAGGAAAGAAGCAAGGAAGGAAAAAGGGAGGGGGGATGAGAGAGGGGAGGGGAGAGGAATGGAGGAGAGGGGAGGGGGAAGGAAGGAGGAAGAAAGAAAGAAGGAAAGGAGGACCAGGCATAGTGGTTCACGCCTGTAATCCCAGCACTTTGGGAGGCCAAGGCAGGGCAGATCACTTGAGGTCACTCTGTTTTGAGTTTCTCAGCATAGCTCCCCATTGCCATTTGACAGCAGCAAGCTCATCTGGATTCCTCTCCACACCCTCTCACAGCCTTACTTAGGATCTCAATTATCTTGCAGTGTCACTCTCAAAAGTCCATCTCTTGGCAGCCCTTCAGTGAAGCCAAACAGAGTGGTCACAAGCCTAATCAGGCCTATATTTAAAACAAGTAATCAGGTCAGGTGCAGTGGCTCATGCCTGGAATCCCAGCACTTTGGGAGGCCAAGGTGGGTGGATCACCTGAGGTCAGGAGTTTGAGACTAGTCTGACGAAGAAGTACAAGAAAAATGGGCTACACTTGCTCATAAATTTCAGGCAGATGCAAACCCTGTTCCCGGGCTTAACAGGCCAGCTCTGTTTTTTTGCTAGAGATGAACACAGCTCCTGTACCTCTACATTTAGACCCAAGAGTTTCCCTATTAGGACACATGAAAAGAGCCAAAAGACATGTTTCTCTTTTTCATCAAAATTAAAATCCCCACATGCAAAGGCACCCTTTGTTTCCAAAGCCCTTTCCTCCAGGGTCCCGCTGTTTCAAATCTGTGTGGTCTATTAAATGCTAAATCATCTGACAGATTTCTTCTGGGGAGACCGTAGTTTCTAGGGCAACATCCAAACCACATATATCTGTCTTTTTTTTTTTTTAAGTTTTTCTTGTTCTCAACCTGAGCTGGCCTGAGCAAAACTGTGAAACCCCATCTCTACTAAAAATACAAAAATGAGCTGGGCATGGTGGCAGGCACCTATAATCCCAGCCACTTGGGAGGCTGATGAAGGAGAATCACTTGAACCCAGAGGTGGAGGTTGCAGTGAGTTGAGATCACACCATTGCACTCCAGCCTGGTAGACAAAAGCGAGACTCCATCTCAAAAAAGGAAATAAATAAATAAACATTGGTTTTCTTCATGGTGTCTACAATTATTCCAAAATATTAAATTAGCCAGGAACAGTGGCTCGTGCCTATTATCCAAGCACTTTGTGAGGCTGAGGTGGGAGGATCCCTTAAGGCCAGGAGGTCGAGGCTGCAGTGAGCTATAATTGCACCAGTGCACTCCAGTTTAGGCAACAGAAGAATACCTTGTCTCCAACAATAAATAAAATAAAAATTAAATTATAATATCCCTTGAAAGCAAACAGAAGAAATCCTCTATTTCAGGCAGTAAATATGAGGCAGGCCGTAGATGTAAGGGATGCTCCCAAAACTGGGCACTCTGTTAATGACAAAACAGAGACCAGGATCCACATTCCCAACACTCAGTCCAGTGCCAGACCCACAAAACCATTTGGTTTTTGCGAAAACACTGAATTTTCCCAAAATAAAACCCAAATTATTACTAACAGATGTTTTAGATGGTCAGTCTTCATCCTTGTCTTCATTCAATGCTCATTCCTCCTTTTACTGCAAAAACAAAAGGTGGCTAAAAGAGTATTCCAGGGAGATCCTGCAACAGAGTTGAACTTCACCTTCTCCTTGGTTGTTAATAAGTTTTCTTTGAGACGAAGAAGTACAAGAAAAATGGGCTACACTTGCTCATAAATTTCAGGCAGATGCAAACCCTGTTCCCGGGCTTAACAGGCCAGCTCTGTTTTTTTGCTAGAGATGAACACAGCTCCTGTACCTCTACATTTAGACCCAAGAGTTTCCCTATTAGGACACATGAAAAGAGCCAAAAGACATGTTTCTCTTTTTCATCAAAATTAAAATCCCCACATGCAAAGGCACCCTTTGTTTCCAAAGCCCTTTCCTCCAGGGTCCCGCTGTTTCAAATCTGTGTGGTCTATTAAATGCTAAATCATCTGACAGATTTCTTCTGGGGAGACCGTAGTTTCTAGGGCAACATCCAAACCACATATATCTGTCTTTTTTTTTTTTTAAGTTTTTCTTGTTCTCAACCTGAGCTGGCCTGAGCAAAACTGTTAGGTGTAGAGTATTAGAACAGAGAATGGGGGCAGTCTTCCTAGAGTCCCAGAAGTACGGGGCTGAGGCCGGATTGCCCAAGGAGTTCCTGGGCCAGTAATCCCCAGAGAAACAGCATTTAGCTCAAGTGACAGCCTCTAGCTCAAGCTACCAGTTCTGTCCCCCATCTCCACAGAAAACGGATTGATACAGTTTGGCTTTATGCCCCTACCCAAATCTCATCTCAAATTGTAATCCCCAGGTGTTGAGAAAGGGACCTGTTGAGAGGTGATTGGCTCATGGGGGCAGTTTCCCCCAGGCTATTCTCGTGATAGTGAGTTCTCACGAGATCTGACAGTTTCATAAAAGGCTCTTCGCCCTTCACTTCCTTCACAAGCTCTCTCACCTGCTGCCATTAAGACACGCCTTCTTCCCCTTCCACCATGATTGTAAGTTTCCTGAGGCCTCCCCAGCCATGTGGAGCTGTGAGTCAATTAAACCTCCTTTCTTTATAAATTATCCAGTCTTGGGCAGTTCTTTATAGCAGTATGAGAACAGACTAATACACAGACCAAAAGAAAATTAATAGAAAGGGGCATGGCTGTGTTGAATGGAACTGCTCCTTACAGAAGACCAGACATCTATCAGAAAACCTGCCCAATGCCGTAGCTAATTCCAAAACTAAAGATTAATCCAGCAAAGCCAAAACATACTTCCAACTCTTGGCAGTTCCAAATGAGGTCAGCATTTAATAATGGCAGCCCCAACCCCTAGCAGGAGCACAGCAGTAACACAGATGAAAGGTGCAGGTGACGGCCTTCACTAAGGACACATTTACTCACCTGAATGAACAAGCAGTGGGACCCTTTATACCCAGTCACTTGGGCTTGAGAAATAGCTGGGTTCTCCCCAGGGAGGCTGTCCTCCTCCCCCTCCCCCGCTTCCCTGATTTAAGGTTGAAGATGGCTGGAATGCACCCCACCTATGAAGAGCAGTGGACATGGCTGGGGGTAGAGCCAGAACAAGCCCTCAAAAGAACACAGGCCAGACTGGAGACTTGGGTCAGCCAAGTGGAACCAGAACAGGGCATAAAGTGAGCTTGTACATCCAACAGCCATGAGTAACATCAAAAAGGTTGTAGCCTGGCCAACACGGCGAAACCCCATCTCTACAAAAAATACAAAAAGTAGTTGGGCTTGGTAGCATGCACCTTTAATCCCAGCTACTTGGGAGGCTGAGGCAGGAGAATCACTTGAACCCGGGGGGCAGAGGTTGCAGTGAGCTGAGATCGTGCCACTGCACTCCAGCCAGGGTGACAGAATGAGAACCTGTCTCAAAAAAGAAAAAAAAAGACAGGTTGTAACCCATCCTCCAAGATACCCCCCATACATCTAAAACAATTAGATTAAACAGACTAAACATGTTTCTGTCCTCTGTCTCATGTCTCTCAGGCAGCAGGGCTTCCCATGTATTTTATGCTAGCAGGCACTGTCCCACACCCACCTGAAGCCACGGTGTCTTAAGGCTTCTTCTGTCATAAAACGTGCCTTTGGATCCACTACCAACAACTTCTTGACAAGGTCCAGTGCTAAAGCAACAATTGGGCAAATCACAGTGAAAAGGATAAATATATTATCAGTAATAGTATGCCAGAATTAACAGGCCACCATCCAGAAAGAGCAGAGAGGGTCTGAGATCATCAGGGAGTCAGCAGACAGGGCCCCCTAATCTTCCTCACTCTCTGTATTCAGAGTACTGTGAGAAGACCAGGAATGATAATGACACTCCCTGTCTCCTGCTGCTGGGACATCATTCACGACCTCTTCGCTGCCTGTTCCCTCTCCTGTTGTTAGACTCAAGGTCAAACTAATTAAAGCTAAACTTCTACCCAATTCTAAGATACTTGGGATGCACAGCAAACTCTCCCTGACAGATGGATGGGTGAGAGTTACTCAGCCAGGGAGAGGCTCCCTGGAACTGCAGACTTGTCAGAAATAAAACTTGACTACTCCAGCAAGCAACAAATGCACGCTGGCCTGTATATTACAACATAATTATTCCTTAAATATTCTGACATTTAACACAATCACCTATGTTATGTTATTTGACATTCAAGACCTAGAATATTATATAGGCTAGTGAATATTATCCTTCATCTCTGGAGTATGAAAAGGAGTGTAACTGGTGAAATTGCTGTTTTTTTGTTATCTGACTAAGTGTATTAACCAAATCCAGTGAACGTTTCTGTCTGCATCGTATTCAAGATCTTTGCAGCTTTTGACGCCAACGATCACTCTCTTATTGAAACACTTGTCTTTTTTTTCTAATTCTGAGGCACCACTTACTGGTTTTCTTCTTCCCTCACTGCTTCTTCCTTTCTTGTCTTACATATTCCATTCTTCTTTTCCTAACTTCTAAATATGAAATATCACTCAGGACTTAGACCTGGGCCTTTTCCTCTTTTCCTTTTATATAGTTTGTCTATGTGGTCTCATCAACGTCCAAGATATCATATTTATGCATGCAGCCTTCTAATTTAAACATTATCTGGCCAGGCACGGTAGTTCACGCCTGTAATCCCAGCACTTTGGGGGCTGAGGCGGGCAGATCACCTGAGGTTGGGTGTTCAAACCAGCCTGGCCAATATGGTGAAACCCCATCTCTACTAAAATATACAAAATTAACCAGACATCATGGCATGCACCTGTAGTCCCAGCTACTCAAGAGGCTGAGGCAGGAGAATCGCTTGAACCCAGGAGGCAGAGGTCGCAGTGAGCCAAGATTGCACCACTGCACTCCAGCCTCAAAAAAAAAAAAAAAAAAAAAAAAAAAAATATATATATATATATATAAAATCATTATAGATATAGTTGAAGCTTCCTGTGTACTATTTTCCAACCTCATTCCTCTCCTTTTCCTGGAGGTACCAGCTATGCAGATAAAAGCAGAAATTAATGTCAGTAGCAGTGTGTTCATCATGTGTCTATGCCTTCATGACAAAGGAAGTTTAAAAACTTGTGTTCCTGGCTTCTGCATTGGGAAAGTAATATTAATAATGTTAGAAATTCTCCAAACATGGGGTGACTTATTAAAACCTGCTCAGGCCAGGTGCCATGACTGATGCCTGTAATCCCAACACTTCGGGGCACCAAGGTGGAAGAATCATTTGAAGCCAAGAGTTTGAGGCTAGCTTGGGCAACATAGTGAGACTTCATCTCTACAAAATAAAAACATTTTAAAAATTAGCTAGGCATTGTGGTGTGTGCCTGTAGTCCCAGCTACTCAGGAGGCTAAGGCAGAGGGTCCCTAGAACCCAGGAGTTCTAGGATGCTGTGAGATATATGATCGTGCCACTATTCCAACCCAGGCAACAGGGCAAGACCCTGTCTTTTTAAAAATAATAAAATAAAATAAAAGTTGCTTGGGCAAACTGTTAAACGTTTGCTTCTATTCCTGAGATACCCAACTGGTCCAGAATTTTTTTTAGAATACATTACTAGATTTACTACTATTTTATTTTAGATGTTTGTATCTAAGCTTAGTTTGGCCTCCAATTTTCATGGATTATAATGATCTTAAATATTTATATTGCATTTATGTTAGCCTCACAAAATGAATTGAAGGTGTTCCCTCTTTTTCCATTCTCTGAAATTATTTTGATATGATAGTGCTTATTTATATGTTCTTTGAATGTTCGGTAGAACTTTCATATTAAAGTATCTCATACTAGTGGGTGTTTTCTATGAGAAAGTATTTACTGATTGAATTTTGAAAAATAGATACGTGAATATTCAGGTGTCCCATTTCTTGTTGACTAAGTGTTTATAAGTTACAGTAGCCAATGAAGTTGTTCATTTCACTTATGTTTTTAGACTGTTGTCATATAGTCATTTATAGTATTCACTTTATTATTTTTTCACTCATATTTTGTTACACTTCATTTTTTATTCCTAATATTGCTTATTTATACCTTCTCTTTTTAATTAATCAATGTTACCAGAAGAGTGCCTATTTTATTATTCTTTTCAAAGAATCAGCATTTGGTTTTGTGAATCTTGCCTATTGTTTCCTTGTTTTATAGTTTATTAATGTCTATTTCTACTTTTAGCCTTATTTCCTTTAATTTATTTTATTTAGGTTTACTCCATTTTTTTTTTTTTTTTTTTTTTTTTAAGAGTCTTGCTCTGTTGCTCAGGCTGCAATGCAGTGGCCCAATCTCGGCTCACTGCAACCTCTGCCTCCCTGGCTCAAGCAATTCTTCTGCCTCAGCCTCCCGAGTAGCTGGGATTATAGGCACCCACCACCACACCCAGCTAATTTTTGTATTTTCAGTAGAGACAGGGGTTACACCATGTTGGCCAAGCTGGTCTTGAACTCCCGACCTCAGGTAATCCACCCTCCTTGACCTCCCAAAGTGCTGGGATTACAGACCTGAGCCACCATGCCCAATCTCTTTTTCTCTTTCTAAACTTCCTAAGGTGGACACTTAACTAATTTTCAGCCTATTTTTCAATATAAACATTTAAAGATATAAATTACCCTTTCAGTACTGCCTCAGCTCTATCTCACAAGTTTTGTTATGTAGTACTTCACTTCCAAATATCTTCTGATTTTTGTTTTCATGTCTTCTTTGACTTAAAAATTATTTAAGGTATGCCTTTAGTTTGAAGATGAAAGAAATTTACATTTTTTTCTCTTATAAATTGCATTTTGGTTACAGAGTATAAGCCGCATGTTATAATGTTTGTTTATTTGCTGTGATATGATTCATAGGCTAGCATAGGTTCAGTTCTCCTAAGACTTTATCAGGCTTCAAAGTATATATATTCTCTAATTTGAGCATACAGAAGTCTATATATTTCCTTTAAATTAAGCTTTTTTAATACAGCGGTTAAAATCTGAGATAATCTTACTACATTTTGATTATCATTGACTCAGAGGTTTAAGTTTCTTCAAGGTTGAGGATTTAGCCATTTTTCTTTGTAATTCTGCCAATTTGTGCTTCATATATTTTACGGTTGAATTGTTACATGCATACATGTCTTTACATAATGACTTATTCCTCAGAATGTTTTTTGTCTTAAATTATAGTTTTTGATATGAAAATAGCTATATCAGCCATATATTGGTTAATATTTGTTTTATTTATCATTTACTCATCTCATACCTTCAGAATTTTGTGTCTTCATGTTTTTAACTATTACAGGTTATACCTGGATTTTCACGTTTTTATCCAGTCTTCAAGTGTCTGTCTTTAACTAATTTAGACCATTTACGTTTATTGTGGTTATGGATAAATTTATATTTACTTCTGTCATCATATTTTGTGCTTTCTGTTAACCATATTATTTCTCCAATTCTTTTCCCCAATGCATTGTATTAGATTGATCAAGGTTTTTCCCCTCTATTTGTTTAAAAGTTGTATGTTCTAGTTCTATTCTATTCACGATTACCCTTGAAATGTAATATGTGTACTTGAATTAACAAGTAATTTAAAAAACTAATTGTAAAATTAAAATCACTAGTTTCATCTTGAAGGATGCATTAATTTTGATCACCCTCATTCATCCCCAACTTACTGTTTTCCAGTACTTTTGTTCCAATTTATATTTTATCAGCTTTTTTGAGGTATAATATACAGAGCACAAAATTTATTTATTTTAAATGCACATTTCGATGAGTTTCGGCCAATTTATAGAGTTGTACAACAATTACAAAAATTCAGTTTTTGAATACTTACATAATCTCAAAAAGTTTCCTCATGCTTATTTGCATTACATCCTCACTCCCACCTACCCAAGTCCCAAGTAACAAATGATCTGCTTTCTTTATAGATTTGCCTTCCATGAAAAGTTACATAGATTGGCTGGGCACAGTGGCTCACACCTGTAATCCTAGCATTTTGGGAGGCCAAGGCGAGCAGATCACCTGAGCCCAGGAGTTCAAGACTAACCTAGGCAACATGGTGAAACCCCATCTCTACTAAAAACACAAAAATTAGCTGGGCATGGTGGCGCACCTGATAGCTACTTGAAGGCTGAAATGTGATGGATTATGTTTATTGATTTGTGTATATTGAACCAGGCTTGCATCCCAGGGATGAAGCTGACTTGATAGTGGTGGATAAGCTTTTTGATGTGCTGCTGGATTCTGTTTGCCAGTATTTTATTGAGGATTTTTGCATTGATATTGATATTGGTCATCAGGGATATTGGTCTAAAATTCTCTTTTTTTGTTGTGTCTCTGCCAGGCTTTGGTATCAGGATGATGCTGGCCTCATAAAATGTGTTAGGGAGGATTCCCTATTTTTCTATTCATTGGAATAGTTTCAGAAGTAATGGTACCAGCTCCTCTTTGTACCTCTGGTAGAAATCGGCTGTGAATCCATCTGGTCCTGGACTTTTTTTGGTTGGTAGGCTAATTAATTATTGCCTCAATTTCAGAGCCTGTTATTGGTCTATTCAGGGATTCAACTTCTTCCTGGTTTAGTCTTGGGATGGTGTATTTGTCCAGGAATTTATCCATTTCTTCTAGATTTTCTAGTTTATTTGTGTAGAGGGGTTTGTAGTATTCTCTGATGGTAGTTTGTATTTCTATGGGATCAGTGGTGAAATCCCCTTTATCATTTTTTCTTGCATCTATTTGATTCTTCTCTCTTTTCTTCTTTATTAGTCTTGCTAGTGGTCTATCAATTTTGTTGATCTTATCAAAAAACCAGCTCCTGGGTTCATTGATTTTTTGAAGGGTTTTTTGTGTCTCTATCTCCTTCAGTTCTGCTCTGATTTTAGTTATTTCTTGCCTTCTGCTAGATTTTGAATTTGTGTGCTCTTGCTTCTCTAGTTCTTTTAATTGTGATGTTAGGGTGTCGATTTTAGATCTTTCCTGTTTTCTCTTGTGGTTATTTAGTGCTATAAATTTCCCTCTACACACTGCTTTAAATGTGTCCCAGAGATTCTGATATGTTGTGTCTTTGTTCTCGTTGGTTTCAAAGAACATCTTTATTTCTGCCTTCATTTCGTTATTTACCCAATAGTCATTCAGGAGCAGGTTGTTCAGTTTCCATGTATTTGTGTGGTTTTGAGTGAGTTTCTTAATCCTGAGTTCTAATTTGATGGCACTGTGGTCTGGGAGACAGTTTGTTGTGATTTCTGTTCTTTTACATTTGCTGAGGAGTGCTTTACTTCTAACTATGTGGTCAATTTTGGAATAAGTGAGATGTGGCACTGAGAAGAATGTACATTCTGTTGATTTGGGGTGGAGCGTTCTGTGGATGTCTATTAGGTCTGCTTGTTGCAGAGCTGAGTTCAAGTCCTGGAAATCCTTGTTAACCTTCTGTCTCATTGATCTGTCTAATATTGACAGTGGGGTGTTAAATTCTCTCATTATTACTGTGTGGATGTCTAAGTCTCTTTGTAGGTCTCTAAGGACTTGCTTTAAGAATCTGGGTGCTCCTGTATTGGGTGCATGTATAGTTAGGATAGTTAGATCTTCTTGTTGCATTGATCCCTTTACCATTATATAAAGGCCTTCTTTGTCTCTTTGATCTTTGTTGATTTAAAGTCTGTTTTATCAGAGACTAGGATTGCAACCCCTGCTATTTTTTGCTTTCCATTTGCTTGGTAGATCTTCTTCCATCCCTTTATTTTGAGCCTATGTGTGTCTCTGCACGTTAGATGGGTCTCCTGAATACAGCACACTGATGGGTCGTGACTCTTTATCCAGTTTGCCAGTCTGTGTCTTTTAATTGGGACATTTAGCTCATTTACATTTAAGGTTAATATTGTTATGTGTGAATTTGATCCTGTCATTATGATGTTAACTGGTTATTTTGCTCATTAGTTGATGCAGTTTTTTCCTAGGATCTTTACAATTTGGCATGTTTTTGTGTGGCTGGTACTGGTTATTCCTTTCCATGTTTAGTGCTTCCTTCAGGAGCTCTTGTAAGGCAGGCCTGGTGGTGACAAAATCTCTCAGCATTTGCTTGTCTATAAAGGAGTTTATTTCTCCTTCACTTATGAAGCTTAGTTTGGCTGGATATGAAATTCTGAGTTGAAAATTCTTTTCTTTAAGAATGTTGAATATTGGCCCCCACTGTCTTCTTGTTTGTAGGGTTTCCGCCAAGAGATCTGCTGTTAGTCTGATGTGCTTCTCTTTGTGGCTAACCCGACCTTTCTCTCTGGCTGCCCTTAATATTTTTCCTTTCATTTCAACCTTGGTGAGTCTGACAATTATGTGTCTTGGTGTTGCTCTTCTCGAGGAGTATCTTTGTGGTGTTTTCTGACCCTAACTTCACAATTAAAAGAACTAGAAAACCAAGAGCAAACACATTCAAAAGCTAGCAGAAGGCAAGAAATAACTAAGATCAGAGCAGAACTGAAGGAAATAGAGACACAAAAAACCCTTCAAAAAATTTATAAATTCAGGAGCTGGTTTTTTGAAAAGATCAACAAAATTGATAAACTGCTAGCAAGACTAATAAAGAAGAAAAGAGAGAAGAATCAAATAGACACAATAAAAAAATGATAAAGGGGATACCACCACTGATGCCACAGAAATACAATCTACCATCAGAGAATACTACAAACACCTCTATGCAAATAAACTAGAAAATCTAGAAGAAATGGATAAATTCCTTGACACATACACCCTCCCAAGACTAAACCAGGAAGTAGTTGAATCTCTGAATAGACCAATATCAGGCTCTGAAATTGTGGCAATAATCAATAGCTTATCAACCTAAAACAGTCCAGGACCAGATGGATTCACAGCCGAATTCTACCAGAGGTACAAGGAGGAGCTGGTACCATTCCTTCTGAAACTATTCCAATGAATAGAAAAAGAGGGAATCCTCCCTAACTCATCTTATGAGGCCAGCATCATCCTGATACCAAAGCCTGGCAGAGACACAACCAAAAAAGAGAATTTTTGATCAATATCCTTGATGAACATTGATGTAAAAATCCTCAATTAAATGCTGGCAAACTGAATCTAGCAGCACATCAAAAAGCTTATCCACCATGATCAAGTAGACTTCATCCCTAGGATGCAAGGCTTGTTCAACATATGCAAATCAATAAATGTAATCCAGCATATAAACAGAACCAAAGACAAAACCACATGATTATCTCAATAGATGCAGAAAAGGCCTTTGACAAAATTCAGCAACATTCATGCTAAAAACTCTCAATAAATTAGGTATTGATGGGACATATCTCAAAATAATAAGAGCTATCTATGACAAACCCACAGGCAATATCATACTGAATGGGCAAAAACTGGAAGCATTCCCTTTGAAAACTGGCACAAGACAGGGATGCCCTCTTTCACCACTCCTATTCAACATAGTGTTGAAAGTTCTGGCCAGGGCAATTAGGCAGGAGAAGGAAATAAAAGGTATTCGATTAGGAAAAGAGGAAGTCAAATTGTCCCTGTTTGCAGATGACATGATTGTATATCTAGAAAACCCCATTGTCTCAGCCCAAAATCTCCTTAAGCTGATAAGCAACTTCAGCAAAGTCTCAGGATACAAAATCAATGTACAAAAAACACAAGCATTCTTGTACACAAATAACAGACCAACAGAGAGGCAAATCATGGGTGAACCCCCATTCACAATTGCTTCAAAGAGAATACAATACCTAGGAATCCAACTTACAGGGGACATGAAGGACCTCTTCAAGGAGAACTACAAACCACTGCTCAATGAAATAAAAGAGGATACAAACAAATGGAAGAACATTCCATGCTCATGGGTTGGAAGAATCAATACTGGAAAAAAACTACTTTAAAGTTCATATGGAACCAAAAAAGAGCCCACATTGCCAAGTCAATCCTAAGCCAAAAGAACAAAGCTGGAGGCATCACGCTACCTGACTTCAAACTATACTACAAGGCTATAGTAACCAAAACATCATGGTACTGGTACCAAAACAGAGATATAGATCAATGGAACAGAACAGAGCCCTCAGAAATAATGCCGCATATTTACAACTATCTGATCTTTGACAAACCTGACAAAAACAAGCAATGGGGAAAGGATTCCCTATTTAATAAATGGTGCAGGGAAAACTGGCTACCCATATGTAGAAAGCTGAAACTGGATCCCTTCCTTACACCTTATACAAAAATTAATTCAAGATGGATTAAAGACTAACATGTTAGACCTAAAATCATAAAAGCCCTAGAAGAAAACCTAGGCAATACATAGGCATGGGCAAGGATTTCATGTCTAAAACATTCTCCCCATCACTTTCAAGTGCACCAATCAAACTTAGATTTGGTCTTTTCACATAGTCCCATATTTCTTGGAGGCTTTGTTCGTTTCTTTTTACTCTTTTTCTCTAAACTTCGCTTCTCACTTCATTTCATTCATTTGATCTTCCATCACTGATACCCTTTCTTCCACTTGATTGAATTGGCTACAGAAGCTTGTGCATGCATCATGTAGTTCTCGTGCCATGGTTTTCAGCTCCGTCAGGTCATTTAAGGTTTTCTCTATGCTGTTTATTCTAGTTAGCCATTCATCTAATCTTTGTTCAAGGTTTTTAGCTTCCTTGCAATGGGTTCGAACATCCTCCTTTAGCTCAGAGAGGTTTGTTATTACTGACCTTCTAAAACCTACTTCTGTCAACTCATCAAAGTCATTCTCTATCCAGCTTTGTTCCATTGCTGGCAAGGAGCTGCAATCCTTTGGAAGAGAAGCGGCACTCTGGTTTTTTGAATTTTCAGCTTGTCTGCTCTGGTTTCCCCCCATCTTTGTGGTTTTATCTACCTTTGGTCTTTAATGATGATGACCTACAGATGTGGTTTTGGTGTGGATGTCCTTTTTGTTGATGCTGTTCCTTTCTGTTTGCTAGTTTTCCTTCTAACAATCAGGACCCTCAGCTGCAGGTCTGTTGGAGTTTGCTGGAGGTCCACTCCAGACCCTGTTTGCCTGAGTGTCACCAGTGGAGGCTGCAGAACAGCAAATATTGCTGCCTGATCCTTCTTCTGGAAGCTTCATCTCAGAGGGACACCTGGCTGTATGAGGTGTCAGTAAGTCCCTACTGGCAGCTCTGTCCATTCTCAGAGTTCAAACTCCATGCTGGAGAACCACTGCTCTCTTCAGAGCTGTCAGACAGGGATGTTTAAATCTGCAGAAGTTTCTGCTGCTTTTATTCAGCTATACCCTGCCCCCAGAGGTGGAGTCTACAGAGGCTGCCAGGCCTCATTGAGCTGCAGTGAGCTCCACCCAGTTCAGGCTTCCCAGCTGCTTTGTTTACCTACTCAAGCCTCAGCAATGGTGGACGCCCCTCCCCCAGCCCAGGCTGCCACCTTGCAGTTCGATCTCGGATGGCTGCACTAGCAGTAAGCAAGGCTGTGTGGGCATGGGGCCCGCTGAGCCAGGCATGGGATATAATCTCCTGGTGTGCCGTTTGCTAAGACCATTGGAAAAGCACAGTATTAGGGTGGGAGTGTCCGGATTTTCCAGGTACCGTCTGCCACAGCTTCCCTTGGCTAGGAAAGGGAAATCCCCCGACCACTTGTGCTGCTTCCTAGATGAGGCGACGCCCTGCCCTGCTTCAGCTCACCCTCTGTGGGCTGCACCCACTGTCTGACCCATCTCAGTGAGATGAACCAGGTACCTCAGTTGGAAATACAGAAATCACCTGTCTTCTACGTCAATTATGCTGAGAGCTGCAGACAGGAGCTGTTCCTATTCAGCCATCTTGGAATGATCCTCTCTTTTCATTTATTTAAGAAATATTTGAAAAGCAAAGATTTCATCATTTTGGTGAAGTCCAATTTATCTGTTTTTCTTTTATGGAACATGTTTTTGATATTATATCTAAGAAACCTTTTCTTAGTCCAAGGTCATAAATATTTTCTCCTATTTTTTTTTCCTAGAAGTTTTACAGTTTTAGCTCATACAATTAGGTCTATGATCCATTTTAGTTAATTTTCGTATATGACCTAAGGATCTAGGTTTAGTTTTTGTAAATGAATAACCAGTTCTTATAGAATCATTTGTTGAAAGAACATCTTTTTCCTATAGAATTGTCTTAGCATCTTTGATGAAAATTAATTGACTATTTATGTGGGTTGGATTCTGAACTCCACTTAGTTCCATTGATCTATCTATCTCTCTTAATGTGGATTCTACACTGTCTTGACTACTGTTGCTTTACACTGAATTTTAAAATAAGGCAGTATTAAGTACTCTAACTTCATTCTTACTTAGCAAGATTGTTTTGGCTATTCTAGGTATTTTTGTATTTCTATATAATTTTAGAATCAGCTTGTCAATTTTTCCAATAATCTTTCTAGACTTTTGGCAGGAATTGCAGTTAATTTGTAGATCAATTGACATCTAACAATATTGAGTCATCTAATCCATTAACATGATATATCTCTCCATTTATTTAGGCATTTATCTGAGTGATGTTTTTTAGTTTTCAGTGCAAAGGTTTCACACTTATTTTGTTAAATTTATTCCTAATTATTATTGCTATAGTTTGAGTGTCTCTACCAAAACTCTTGTTGGAACGCTTAAGAGGTGGGGCCTAATGGGAAGTGTTTGGGTCTTGGGAGTTCTTCCTTTGTGGGCAGCTTGGTACTATTCTTACACTGGTGAGTGAGTTCTCACTCTTATGAGATTAGTTCTCTCAGGAATGGATTAGTTACCATGAGAATGAGTTGCCATATGGTGAGGTCACGCTTCATGCTTGGCCTCCTGGTACATGCCTACTCCCCTTTGACCTTCTTCTACCATGTTGTGACACAACACTAAAGCTTTCACCAGAACCCAAGCAGATGCCAGTGTCATTCTTTCCAGCCTGCAGAACTGCAAGCCAAATATACCTCTTTATAAATTACTCAGTCTCCGGTATTCTGTTATAGCAACACAAAACGGACTAAGACAGAAAATTGGTACTGAGAGTGGGATGTTGCTATTTAGATTCTCAAAAATGCAGAAGCATCATTGGAACTGGGTAATGGGCAGAAGTTGGAAAAGTTTGAAGGAGCAGACTAGAAAAAGACTGTATTGCCATAAACAGAGCATTAAGGGTAATTTCAGTGAGGGCTCAAAAGACAACAAAAAGATGAGAGAAAGTTTAGAATTTCTTAGAGATTGGTTAAGTAGTGATTACCACAATGCTGATAAAAGATGGACAGCAAAGGCATTCTAATGAGATCTCAGATAGAAATGAGGAACAAGGTATTAGGAACTGGAGACCAAGTCATCCTTGTTAGACCATAGCAAAAATTTGGCTGTGTTGTTTCTAAGGCTTTTTGCCCTAAGGTTTTGTGGAAGGCCAAACTTAAGGTTGATGAACTAGGGTACCTGGCAGAAGACATTTCTAAGCAAAATATAGAGCAGCTATGTAGTTACTCCTTACTACATTCAGTGAAATGCAAAATGACAAGGGAAGCAAACACAAAAATTTGAAAATTAATAGCCTGGCCATGCGGAAGAGAATGAAAGAGCATTTTCAGGCGAGGAATCCAAGGGTGCAGCAGAACAACCAATACTAAAGAGATTAGCACTGAGAGAAGAAAGCCAGTTGACAATTATTGAGACAATTTTTTAAAGGCCCTGAAGACATTTCAGAAATTTTTGAGGTTGCCTCTCCAGAGGTCTAGGAGGACAGAATGGTTTTAAGAGACAGAACCCATGCATCACTGCCCTGTGCTGTTTTGAGATCCTGCTCCCCAATTTCTGGCACAGCCCTCAGCAGCCACCCCAGCCATGGCACAATCATACTCAGGTGTGGCTCAGGCTGCCATTCCACAAGATACAAACCATAAACCTTGGTGGCACGCAGTCATGGATCAAGCAGCCTCAGATACAGCTCATGACAACACTCTGGAGGGTGCAAGCAGTAAGCCTTGATGGCTTTTACAACCATGTGGTACTAGTTTTGCAGATGTGCAGAATACAAGAGAAGTGGAGGCATGGTGGCTGCCACCTAGATTTTAAGGAATGTACTGAAAAGACTGGGAGCTCAGGTGGAGACTTGTTGCAGGGCCAGAGCCACTGCAGTGTACCTCCCCCAGGGCAATGCTGAGCAGAAATGTAGGGTTGGAGCTGCCACAAAGAGTCTGTACCAGGGCAATGCCTAGTGAATCCATGAAGTGGACCACCACTGGGACTCCAGAACTATAGAGCCATTGCCACCATGCAACCTCAGCCTGGAAAGGCCCAGGTATCCAACTCCAACCAGTGAGAGTAGCCATGTGGCTATGCCCAACAAAGCAATGGAGGTGGGGCTGCCCAAGGCTTTAGGGATAAAAACTCCCCACTGTGCCCAGGAGGTAGCACATGGAGTGGAGAATTATTCTGGAGCTTTAAGATTTAGTGTCTGCCCTGCTGAGTTTTGAACTTGCTCGAGGCCTGTTACCTCTTTCTTCTTTTGGCCTATTTCTCCCTTTTGGAATGGGACTGTCTGCCATATGACTATTCCACCATTGTATCTTGGAAGTAAATAACTTATTTTTTTTAATTTTTTTTTATTTTATTTTACAGGCTCATAGCTAGAAGGAACTTGCCTTGAGTCTTATATGAGACTTTGGACTTTGACCTTTGAATTGTTACTGGAATACATTAAGACTTTGGGGACCACTGAGATTGAATAATTACATTTTGTAGTGTAAGAGGGACATGAGTTTGGGGTTCCAAGTGTGGAATGCCATGGTTTCCGTGTTTCTGTCAAAAATCATGTTGGAACCTTTAAGAGGCAGGGCTTAATGGGAGATGCTTGGGTCATGGGGGCTCTGCCATTTTGAGCAGCTTGGTGCAGTCCTCATACAGTGAGTGAGTTCTTGCTCTCATGAAACTGGATTGGTTCTTGTGGGAATAGATAAGTTGCCCTGAGAATGGATTGTTATAAAGCAACCCATTGTACAAGGTTGTACCTTGTGTTTGGCCTCTTGGCACATTCCCACTTCCTCTTTGGTCTTCTGCCATGTTGTGATGCACTGCTAAAGCCCTCACCAGAAGCTAAGCAGATACTGGTGCCATGCTTCTTGAACTTCCCAGTCTGGAGAAACATGAGCTAAATAAACCTCTTTATACAGTCTCAGGTATTCTATTATAACAACATAAAACAAACTAAGACATTTATTTTTGATGCTATTGTGATTGGAATTGTTTTCTTTATTTCATCTTTGTATTGTTTGTTGCTACTATATATATAACCGATTTTTGTATATTGATCATATACTCTACAAACTTACTAAGCCCCCCTCTTAGTTCTAGTAAGTCTGGGAGGGGGTGTGGTATGTGGGTGTGTGTGTGGGTGTGTTCCTTAGGATTTTCTGCATACAAGGCTAACAATAAAAAGAATTGTCTTTTTTCCATACCTTTTTTCCTTGACTATTGCACAAACTAAGACCTGTGGTGCATTGTTAAATAGAAGTGCTAAACACAGATATCTTTGCATGTTTCCTAATCTAGAGGGAAGCGCATTCTTACCATTAAGTATGTTGTCTATAGGCTTCTGGTAGATGCCTTGATCATTTGAAGAAGTTCCCTTCTATTGATAAGTTGATGAGTTTTTTTAATATATGAGTGTTGAATTCTGTCAAATTCTTTTCTGCATCTATTGAGGTGATCATATGGTTTTGTCCTTTATTCTGTTAATATAGTTTATTACATTGATTTTTGGATGTTAAGTCAACCTCACATTCCTGAGATAAACTTCATTTGATTATGGTATAAAATCCTTTTCATATGTTGCTCAATTACATTTGCTAATATTTGGTTAAGAATTTTTATGTCTATGTTCACAAGGGATATTGGTATATAGCTGTGTTTTCTTGTAATGTCTTTGTCTTGTTTTGATATCAGGGTAATATTGATATCAAATGAAATAAAGTTAGTTGGGAAGTTTCCTTCATCCTCTATTTGCTGAATAAAGTTTTTGTAACATTGGTATTATTTCCTCCCTTAATAGTTTGATAGAATTCACCAGTGAAGTATATTTTTTCTCTATAGGAAGATTTGAAATTACTGATGCAATTTCTTTACTTGATATTGGTATTTGTTTTTTTTTCTTTTTCCTTGAGTCAGTTTTGGTAATTTGTGTCTTTCTAGGAATTGTTCTATTTTATCTAAGTTGTCAAATTTTTTGCCTTAAAGTTATTATGCTATTTTCTTAACATCCTTTTAAGGGTAGGGTCTGTGGTGATATTTCTCTTTGATTCTTGATTTTGGGAATTAGTGTCTTCTTTCTTTTTTCTTGGTCAATTTAACTAAATATTATTTATCTCTTGACTTTCTGAAATAAGCAATTTTGGGTTTCTTTGGTTGTTTTTAATGTTATCCTGTTCTGTATTTATCGTTTTCCACTGTGACATTTTTATTTCATTCATCCTACTTACTTTCGGCTTGGTTTACTCATCTTCTTCTAGAGTCTTAAGATGGAAGTTTTAATTATCAATTTTAGATTATTTTTTCTTTCTGTTTTTAAAGCTATACATTGTCCTCTATACACTGCTTTAACTGCATCCTGTAAATATTGCTATGTTATTTTTTTTTGTATTTTAAGTTTATAACATTTTATTTATAAAAATAAGCTGGGGGAAAAGGATTTATACCACTGCATTCTTTCCTGGGGGAGAACTATTTTGGGCCATTTTTGAAATTTTTTTTCCTCTTAACAATTTTCAGAGTCACATTTGAATTCCTTCAGAATGGTATTTGTCAACAAAAAAGTTCAAGTGAAAAGGAGGAGGGAAACTGGGGAAGCATGAAGAAAGGGAGTGAGAGAAGGAGGAGTGGGCATACAACAGTCAACACATAAAGAAATGGCTTTTACTGAAATGACTCTGCCCTGTGCCTCATGCACTAGGTGGTGCAAGCATGCTGCTCAGACATCAACACCAAATGTCATTTAGAAATGGTAGTCTTCTCTGGGTTCTGAAGGACACTTGTTCCCCAACATGACACTATTAAATGATGCTTTCAAGGCAGACACTAAGACATTATTCCAAAGAGAAGGCTCTGGTGGCAGACGCTGGGGCCATATTCTTTATAGTCCTTCTTGGTGTGACAGACCTGAAATAACTCCAGAGTTGAGGCTAGCATTAAGCTTCCAAACCATAAGGCATAGTGCTGCATGTGATTGATTACCACCCGAACCTTTGTAAGCTTAGGTTTGATTCTCCTGCCACTGAGCTCCTTATTGAGTTTTAATCTGGCATGTACCACTCTTCAAATCTCTCTGTAGTTGAGATTCAAATCCCTGAATATGGTCAAACCCCTTGAAAGAACAACATTCTTATACAGTGGACAATGCACATCAATGGGACAGTTTTGTATTCATCAACAACATTCAAGATGGATTCCATAAAGTCTGGGTTGGCAAACTCTGGGTAAAAAAATATTTCAGGTTGCAGGAACCTTTTGTAACCAACGTCTATTATGAACTTCTCCTGGTTGATCACATTGATACCTGTGTACTGTTTGATCCACTTCCAGGGATCCACATCATACTTAGCAAATTCCTTGACTATATCAGGGCAAATGTAACAGTATTTCTCCTTAATGGCTTTTGTGTTCTCCAGTGACTGCTCAAGAGGGATTCCTACCTCCCTCTCCCTTAGCAGCTGTTGAATGAAATACACAGTATCACCTACAATCAGGATGTGATTGATGCAGCTCCCAATTACATAACCTTCTACAACTGGGAGAACAAGGGTGACTCCATCTCCTTTGTCAATGACTATACTCATTAACATATATTCACCCACTTGTTGAGATGTCCAAGATACTTCCAGGGCTAGTACCTCCTGAACTGCAATGTAGAATCCTGGTACATTAAATAATTCGAACATAATTTCTGCAAAAATGCTCTGTATTTTCTAGTGTATTCAGTGGAAGTTCTGTCATTAAAAAATAATGGTCCTCAGATTCTGCTCAAAGACATTTAAAAACCACTTGCTCCATGAACCTTTCCATAATATCCCAGTCTTCAGTGATTCCATGTCATATTGACCACTTTGTAGCATACATAGATTTATCAATGGCTTCATCCTGTATGAAAAAGTCCAGGTCATCAACTCCCCTCAACATTCTCCCTTGGGCTTTGTCAACTACCTTTGCTGACTCTCTGATAGAAATGCATGAAAGAATAGTAAACTATGGCTCAGTGTTGCCTGTATAGCCAAGCTCGGAATATCTACTGAGGTGATCACAGGGCTGAGACCCAGAGCAGTGGGTGCAGCTCAATCTCCAGGTGTGGGCTGGATGTCAGGGGCTGAGAACAAGGCAATGGAGGAGCCAGGGTGGGCACTGAGTGGCTGTTACCTGATGCCACAGTCTGCCACACAGGAAGGCAGGAACCCCACCATGCTTGGAATACACAACACTTAGCCCCACTGGCCACCCTGGAGCACCCTGCCACCATCCACTTGGCAACCCACTCACCCCATACACCCTGTCTCCTGTGTGTTTCCACTTTTATTCATTTTAAGATATATTGTAGATGGGTGCAGCAAACCACATGGCACGTGTATACCTATGTAACAAACCTGCACGTTCTGCACATGTATCCCAGAACTTAAAGTACAATAAATTTTAAAAAAGGAATATTTTAAAGGATCAACCTACTATTTGACAGTCATGGAAATAGTGAATGGGAATTAAAGGGAAAAAAAATAAGTAAGCAAAGGAAGGGAGGAGGAAAGGGAAAAAGAAAGGAAAGAAAAGGAAAAGAGAAATACAAGAAAAGGAGACAAATAAATAAATAAATAAACAAATAAGTGACTGAAAGTCTGAGAGTTGGCAAATACTATTCAGACAACACTGACAAAATAGGCCTCTTGCTAAAAATAGCAGAATGCACAAAATACAGGAGCAGCCTGTCTGTCCTGAGAGGCTGGGGAGGTTTAGGAAAAGAGGCTGGGGAGATTTGAGACAGGTCTGAAGTATGCAGTTAGTTTTTGCTTGGTGGAAAAAGTAATCATGGGTGATTCAGAAAAAGGAAAATACTTACATAATAGTTATTTTGTACCTTTTTTAGTCTTCTATTACTTTCATAAAATTATCTTTGCATCAAAAGTTATTAACACTTTCAGGACTCCTTGTATGCAAAATTCTTTGAATTGCATTTCTTAATTTGTGATCGCACTGGTAATTTATCTAGCACAATGAACTGAATGTGTGTCTTTATGTTTAAAGGGAAAAATAAAATTCAAAACAGCATATTTGATATAATTTATGATTAGATAATAGAGAAATATCAATTTTAATATAATTTTTAGAAAGTAAAGATTAGGCCAGTCATAATGGATCATGCCTGTAATCCCAGGACTTTGGGAGGCTGAGGCGGGTGGATCACCTGAGGTCAGGTGTTCAAGACCAGCCTGACCAACATGGAGAAACTCTGTCTCTACTAAAAATACCAAATTAGCCGGTGCTAATGATTCATGAGAAATCTGCCCCCATGATCCATTCACCTCCCAGCAGGACCTATCTCCAATTTTGGGGATTACAATTCAACATGAGATTTGGGCAGGGACACATATCCAAACTATATCAACAGAGTTTCATTGTGTTGCTTGGGCTAGTCTCAAACTCCTAGCCTCAAGCAATACTTCTATCTCAGCCTCCCAAGTACCTTTGGGGATTATAATAATCAATCATCTTCACTTTTTACAATCTACTTTGGTTTAATAATTTTTACTTAATTCCAGTGTTATATAGCAACTTTGATCCAATGTATCTCTTATATGCTATGAACTCAGCAGTATTGTTATAGTTATTGCCTATAATAATCAGATGCTTTTTTAAAAAAAGAGATGAAATCAGAATACACACACACACACACATACAATCTTTTATACTTACAAATTTATTTACCATTTCCCATGCCGTTTATTCCTTATAGGTTCAAGTTGCCATGTGGTGTCATATTCTTTTATCTTAAAATCATTTTCTTTAGTGTTTCTTTAGCAAGGATAAGTTCTTTTTATTTTTATTTATCTGGAAATGTCTTTATTTCAGCTCCATTTTTGAAGGATCATTTAACTGGATACAGAATTCTTAATTGACAGTAATTTTTCCCTCCACTTTTGAAATGTCGCCTCATAAGGCCTCCATTTTTTTCAGATAAAAATGCCAGTATTGATAATATTATTGTTCCCCTGTATGTGATAAGTCATCTCTTGCTACTTTCATGATTTTCTTATTATCCTTGGTTTTCACCAATTTGACAAGGATGGCTCTAGGTGTGAATCTCTTTGTGTTTATCCTACTCGAGATTTGTTTGCCTTCTTATATCTGAAGATTAATGTTTTACATAGCATTTTTCAAGTTTTCAGACATTATGTTTTCAAATATTTTTCTGCCCTCTTATCTCTCTCTTCTCCTGGAATCCCCATTATGCATATGTTAGTGCTCTTGATGGTATCCCATAAGTTTCTGAGGATCTGTTTATTATCCTTCATTCTTTTTTCTTTTTGTTCTTCAGATTGATTAACCTCTATTGGTCTATCTTCAAGGTCACTGATACTTTCTTTCACAAGGTCAAATATGCTATTGAACCTCGCTAGTGATTTTTTCACTTTAACTGTTGTACTTTTCAATTCTAGATTCTATTTTTAAACATATTCTGTCTCCTTATTCACATTCTCTACTAGACAGCACATTATCATATTTTTAATTTGAACATATTTATAATATATACTTTGAAAACTTTCTTTCTAAATCCAATATCTGAATTGAGACAGTTTCTATTCACTGCTTTTTTTTCCAGAGTATGAGCCATATTTTCCTGTTTCCTTACATGTCTGATAATTTTTAATTGAAAACTAAACTCTTTAATTACACATTATAGCAAATCTGGATTTGGTTTTTATTTGTTATTGTCTTTGTTGTTGTTCTGTTTTGGTAATTGGCTTATACTTGTGCTGTGTAATCCTTCTGCCCAGTGTTTTTCAGCATTGATGTCTTTTATATTGTGTTGTTGTTGTTATTGTTGTTTTAGCCTGTCTTTCTAGGGATTTCCTTTGTGTCTGTTGCATAGCTTGATTTTGGAGAGACATTATATTAAAGCTAGTAAGGCTTTCACTCTCTGCCAAATAATCTATGGGTGGGTGGGTGAATGCATTCAAAGTTGCAATTAATACTCAAGTCTTACTTCATTTTTACTTTTTGTCATACTCTCTTGAGTCTTTCCTGCACTTCCATACTTTTCCAATTGGCCATATGTGTGGAGAACTTTTCTCAAACTTTCGGAATCATCTCCTGTGGAGTTACAAGGATGTGTTTCTCTTTCCCAGCATGAAATTTTGACAGCACATGTGCAATGTCATCTACCAGGACCAGAGTCTCATTAGAGACTCAGTACTCAGGATTTTATGGAAGTTACTCTCCTTCACATGTGCCAGAATTCCAGACTCCCAGAGGAAGAGCAGCTGTTCAGAGTAAACCACATTGTTTGTATAAACAGTTTAGGCAGAGTGAGCCACTCTTCTCAGTGAGAGAATTGGAACTTGGAACTGGAAAAGTCTAGCCTTGCATGTGGGTCTTTCTTTTCTTTTCTTTTCTTTTCTTTCTTTCTTTCTTTCTTTCTTTCTTTCTTTCTTTCTTTCTTTCTTTCTTCTTTCTTTCTTTCTTTCTTTCTTTCTTTCTTTCTTTCTTTCTTTCTTTCTTCTTTCTTTCTCTCTTTCTCTCTCTTTCTTTCTTCCTCTTTCTTCCTTTGTTTCTTTCTCTCTTTCTTTCTTTCTTTTTTAATTTTACTTTGAGTTCCAGGATACATGTGCAGAACATTCAGGTTTGTTACACAGGTATACATGTGCCATGGTGGTTTGCTGCACCTATTGACCCTCAGGATCTCTCATTTAAATTTTTGTCTTGTCTTCCACCTCCCCAATTGAAACTGCAACCTCAGACTAGCAAATCTGCAATTCTCTCTGTTCATTCCCAAACCACTCTGCTGTATTTAACTGGCAAAACCATTGATTTCTTCCCTCTACTCCATACCAAATCCACCCGTGCCCCCAGCCCTAACAGGAAAGCTGCTGGGTTTTACATCCAGCTTCAAACTGGTCAAACTAGTTTTTCCCAACTGAGGTTGGGGGTGAGAAGAGAGATGGGAGTGTATTAGTCCGTTTTCATTCTGCTGTTAAAGACATACCCAGGACTGGGAAGAAAAAGAGGTTTAATTGGACTTATAGTTCCAGGTGGCTGAGGAGACCTCAGAATCATGGCGGGAGGTGAAAGGCACTTCTTACATGGTGGCGGCAAGAGAAAATGAGGAAGATGCAAAAGCAGAAACTCCTGATAAAGCCATCAGATCTTGTGAGACTTATCCACTACCACGAGAACAGTATGGGGGGGGAGCCACCCCCATAATTTAATTATCTCCCACCAGGTCCCTCCCACAACACATAGGAATTATGGGAGTACAATTCAAGATGAGATTTGCATGGGGACACAAAGCCAAACCATATCAGGGAGCAACCCCAGTCAGGAAGGGCTCAGACTTTTACCAAACCTACCCAAAACCCTAACACTTTTTTCAAGAATAAATGCTTCTTAAATTTGATAACTGCCTTTGATGAGTTTTCAGGGTCCTGAAATGATTGTTTTTGGTATTTCTGCAATTTCTGGGGGGAGTTTTGGTGTGGAAATAAATTGCCAACCTTTTCATGTCACCTCCCAACCTTATTTTTATATCCTCTGATTAACAATTTTCGTTAGTAATGTGTTACACAACAAATACCTGTTTAGACTAACCTACATTTTACCAATTTCTTTGCACATTGTTCCATCTTTTTTGGTTCTATGTCATATTTCTAAAGCATATCTTTCAGTAGATTTTTCCCTGGTAAAAAATGGCATATGTTCTTAAATGTGTTTGTTTGACAATATCTTTCATTTGTCTTTTGTTCGAGTGAAAGTTAACTGACTGCAGAATTCAACATTGAATGTTTTATTTATCTCTGTACTTTGAAGACTTTATTTAATTATCTTCCATCTTCTATTGTTGCTGATAAGAATTGAGAATCTGCTCTATTGTTTATTCAATTATGATTAATCTCTCTTTCTCTGTCTAGATTATTTAAGATTTTATTTTTGCCTTTGGTAGTCTATAGTTTCTCAACATTTTATCTAAGTATCTATTTTTACTTAATCGTGATTAGAACTCATTTGACTTCCTGTGTCCAAATCAATAAAAACCCTAATCAATTCTGTAAAATTTGAAGCCAGTTTTCTTCTCAAATATTACATCTTCTTCATTCTTTCAATTATGTTTCTGAAACTACCATTAGTTGTGTTTTAGATCTTTTCCATAATCTAAATCTCTCATTTTCCACCTCGTTTTTTTTTGTGTGTGCTATGCTCTTAAATAATTTCCTCATATCTACTACTTTGCTGTGTTCTCTCTTCAGCTTTGTCTAGATTGCTATTTGTGTACTTAGTGGGTTTCTTTTCAGTTGAGTAAATTTTAAAGTTTTTTCTAGGTGTTCTATTTAATTATTTTACAATACTTTCTTTTTTTTTATTATACTTTAAGTTTTAGGGTACATGTGTACATTGTGCAGGTTAGTTACATATGTATATATGTGCCATGCTGGTGCGCTGCACCCACTAACTCGTCATCTAGCATTAGGTATATCTCCCAATACTATCCCTCCCCCCACCCCACAACAGTCCCCAGAGTGTGATATTCCCCTTCCTGTGTCCATGTGATC
>NC_000022.11:11016724-11068987 GCF_000001405.40 Homo sapiens | reverse complement strand
GATCTCAGGAGGCGGAGGTTGCAGTGATCGGTGGCCATAGAAGCCCTCCTGAGCAGCAGGCAGAACAGAATCCTCTATAGCAATCAGCCTGCCGAAGAAGCCTCTGCCCCTGTGGCCTGAGGTTCCAGTTTCCCCAGGTGACACCATGGGCAGGTGGGCTGAAGAAGTGGGAAGGTCAAATCAACTGGCCCAGCCAGGATGCCTCTTTGATGATACAAGTGATACTGGTCTAAGCCTCCCCACTTCCACAGGGGAAACTAGGTGGCCCAAAGGGTGCCCAGAGGCAGGGGACCTGCCACAGCAGCCACCTTCCTGAGAGGTTCCCTTTCTTCCCCTTGGGGAACTCCCTCCAACACACAGCTTGCCAGGAAAGCACCCTGTGTCTTACATGGGGGGATCCCATGACACCAAAACCCAGCCAAAGAAGCCTTTTGTCCCTTAAGGGTTATCACAACCAAAAACAAAAAGATACACAAATAGTAAGCCCCTAAATTCTGTTAAGAATGAAACAATGCTGCCACTCACACCTGACTCAGATGCTAGCAGAAGGAGGGCACCCTCCAGAGACCAGAGACCACAGGAGAAGGGGGAGGACTCCTCCTTGCCCTGGCTGCACCTCCACCACTGTCACTGAGGCCTGCAGTACAGAACCAGCAGCTTCTTACCCACCCCAGGCCAGGCCGGGCCCCAAAGCTCTCCTACTTCCCCTTCCTGGCCCCTAGACTTGCTGCTGCTGCCACCATTGCGCCGACACCAAAGGAATCAGCGCTGCTGTCACCTTCCATGCACCTGCCCACCCTCCAAGGATCCTACCACTTGGCCTCCATGGGTACCCTCCTATTGCTCCTGTTGAGCTGCCGTCTCCATCACCGTGGCTGCCACAACCGCAGAAGATGAATCACAGAGCTGTGCCATCTTCAGGCTCCAACCTCCAGCTCACCACTGGGGACTCCTCCTTCATCAGTCTGGCTTGGAGCAGCTGGGCAGACAATGCCAGAAAAACCTACAATAGGATGCAGAAAGTGGCAGTGTTAGAGCCTCACCCTGTCATGCTGCCCACTGGGTGGCTGGGGCCAGTTTCAGCGAAGGCACTTACACCCACCCTCCAAAGTCCAGCCTCTCCTCCTAGACCGAGCTGGCCTCCTGACCTGGGGTGGGGACTGGAGACACCACAGTGTCCGCAGCTCCTTGGGGAGCAAGAACAGCAGAAACTCAGACCCAGCCAGTCCTCCCAACCCAATTACCAGTTCCCATTCCTTACTCCTCCACCCACAGGACCCTGAGCCCCCGTGGTGCCCACTACTCCATGCCTGGGGCTCCCAGATGGTCCCCACAACACAGAGCAAGAGGGCAAGGGCCGAGTAACCATGGTGGGTGTGAGGGCCCTGCGGTGGTCAGAGGATTGCCACAAAAACTCTGTGCACCCTCCACGCTCCAACACGAGCAGAAGTTGTTCACACTCTAGAGCCTTGAGTCCGGGAAGAGGAGAAGGGCCCCTTCCTCAGAGGCCACCACTGTCGTGGCCACCTCCACAACCTGCCGCTGGAAGCAGCAGTGCAGCTTCCCCCCATAGCGCCCCTAACCTGCCCCCTCCACCACAAGCTTAGCCCCCGGATTGTGCCCACAACACACCCAGAGACTGCTGCAGGCAGTGTAACACTGATAGCGCCCCCAAATGACCCCTCTGCTCCTGGCAGTGTAACACTTGATAGTGTCCACAACCTATCCCCACCATGGGTGTTGCAGCACCAAATAGCACCCCATCAAACCCGCCCCCCACCCGGACCACAAGCAGTATAGCCCCAGATAGCGCCCCCAGTCTGCTCCTGTCGCAGGCAGTGAACGCCCGGGGTAGTGCACCCAACAAACCCCTGGACCCCACCTTCCCCTTTCCCCCACAGACAATGCAACATTTCACAGCTCCCCTAAAGCACCCCCGACTGCCTGCCAGTTGGCATTGTTGCTGACATTGTAGCTCACGATAGCTCACCAAACCCGCCCCCTGCATCAGCCAGTGTAGCAGCTAATAATGCCCCTAATCCCCCACCACCCGCTGCTGGCAGTGCACGACGGTACACACAACCTGCCTCCAACCCCCCACCACCTTAGGCAGTGTAGACTCTGATAGCGCAGCAAACCTGCCCCACTGCCAGCAATTCAACACCTGATAGTGCCACCCACCAGCCCCCTGCGGCAGGCAGTGCAGCTCCAAAAGCACACCAAACCCGCTCCCCCACCACCCCGCAAGCGGGCAGTGCAGCCACAGAGAGCGCACCTACCCTGCCACCTTTCTACTACTCTAACAGAGATGCAGTCTCCGTCGCCACCTCCAACTGCAGCCAGGCGAGCCGCGGTGGCCAAGGCTACAGCCGCCAGTGTTGGGCACGGTCCCCACCTTCTCCTAGACCTCTAGCCGGTCAAGAGCAGCTCCAGCTGCCAGCCACCCTCCTACCGCTCAGGCTGCACTCTTACCGCTCCGGCTGCCATCTTACTGCTCCAGCCCCAATCCTACTGCTCAGGCCACCCTCCTAACACTCCAGCCGCGCTGCCATCTCTGTTGCCACCACCATCCAGAGCGAGACGAGCCACGGTGTTACAGGCTCCAGCCTCCAGCTCCCCCTTCTCCTGGTCCTCTAAGCCGGGAACAGAGCAGCTCAGCGGGAGATACCAGAGACCCTAAACTGGCATGAGGCCTCCTCAGCATGCACATGGGGTTACGCGCATGGTTTCTGGACTACATGTTCTGATTGGGTGAGAGAAAATCTCTAGGCCTTCTCTGATTGGACTTTATTTTCATACACTGATTGGTTTTCCTAAGACTTTCTTTCATCCAAACAGAACATGATAACAAAGTCCAATCAGAGTAGGCCTCTGGGCTTTCTCTTATCCAATCCTGGAACGTGTAGTCCACGAACCGCATATGCATAACTTCAGTACATAAATGGTGCTGAAGAAGAGTCAGGCTATTCCAGGTTCTTCTGTGTCTGCTCACCGAGCTGCTCCGAGCCCGGCTTAGAGGACCAGGACAGACTGGAGGCCGTAGCCTGCTGCACCGTGGCTGGCCTCCCTGCAGTTGGTGGCGACAGACACTGTAGTGTGGCTGGAAAGGTAGGAAGGGGAAAATAGTTTCGGGATAGATGGAAGGGTAAAGAGGGTGGTTAGTGCCAAAAGGAAAAAAGGATGGTGAGCCGGAGAAGGCATTGCATAAAGACGATGAGGAAAAGATGTTGGGGAAAAAAAAATTGGGGGGTAGATGGAGGGGGAAAAACAGGGTGGTGAACAGGAGGTAGAGAAGGTTTCACAGAAAGATGGTGGGGAAAAAGTTTTTGGGTAGATGGAAGGGGGTAAGAGAGGGTCGTGAGAGGGGAACGGGGATGAGCAGGAAGGAGAGAGAAGGTTTGCAAAAATATGGTGGGGAGAGAAGAAAGGGAAAGAAGACTGTGGGTAAAAAGATTTTGAGTAGATGGAGGGGGCAAAAGGGTGGCAAGTGGGAGGAGAAAAGAGGTTGCAGAGAGGGAGGGGGAAGAGAGAGTGGCGAGCAGGAGGGAGAGAAGGTTTTGCAAAAAGACAGTGAGGAGAGAAGCTTTTGGGTAGATGGAGGGGGGAAAGAGGGTGGCCAGTGGGAGAAGGGTAAAGAGGGTGGCGAGCGGGAAAGAGAAAAGGTTTTGCGAAAAGACGATAGGCAGAAAAGAAAGTGTAGAAAGAAAAGACAGTGGGTAAAAAGTGTTTGGGTAGATGGAGGGGGAAAAGAGGGTGACAAGCGGGGGGAGAATAGAAAGTTTGGCCAGAGGAAGTGGGGAAAGAGGACTGGAAAAAGGCGATGAGGAAAATAGTTTGGGGTAGATGGAGGGCAAAAAGAGGGTGGCAAGAAGGAAAGAGGAAAGAAGAGGGAGAGCGGGAAGAGGGGAAGGCTTTGTGAAAAGATGGCAGGGAAAAATTGGGGAGGTAGATGGGTTAAAAGAGCGTGGTGAGCAGGAGTAGAGAAGAGGCTTTGTAAAAAGACGGCGGGAAAAATGTTTTTGGGTAGATGGAGAAGGGAAAGGGTGGCAAGGAGGAAGGGAAAAAAGACGATAGGGAAACAGTTTTTGGGTAGACGGAAGGGGAAAGAGAGGGTGGCGAGCAGCAGGAGTGGGGAGAAGGCTTTGGGAAAAGATGAGGGAAATGTTTTTGGGGAGATGAAGGAGCAAAAGAGGATGATGAGAGCGGGAGGCGGAAAAAAAGGGTGGCCAGAGAGAGAGGGAGAAAAGACGGTGGGGACAAGTTTTGGGGTAGATGGGTGGGGAAAACGGAAGTGAGCGGTAAAGTATAGAAGGCTTTGCAAAAAGACAGTGGGGAAAAAATGGTGGGGAAAAAGTTTTGGGGTAGATGGAGGAAGAAAAAGGGTGGCGAGAGAGGGAGCCAAAGACGGTCGGGAAAAAAATTCCTCCTGTTACTGATTTTTTAATACTCTTCCACTCCTGTCAGAAAAAATAATTGATATGATTTCAGGGTTTTTTTGTTTTGGTTTGGTTTTTGGTTTGGTTTTTTGAGATGGAGTCTCGCTCCGTTGCCCAGGCTGGAGTGCAGTGGTGTGATCTTGGCTCACTGCCACCTCCACCTCCCGGGTTCAAGCCATTCTTTTGCCTCAGCCTTCTGAGCAGTTGGGATTACAGGCATGCGCCACGACGCCCAGCTAATTTTGCATTTTTAGTTCTAAATGGGGTTTCTCCATGTTGGTCAGGCTGGTCCCGACCTCTGTTGATTGCCCCACCTCTGCCTTCCAAAGTGCTGGGATTACAGGTGTGAGCCACTGCACCTGGCAAGGATGTTGAATTTTATTGAATGTTTTTATCTGCATCTATTGAGATAATCATATGATTTTTGTTTTAAATTCTGTTTATGTGGTAAATCACATTTATTGATTTGCATATGTTAAATAGTCCTTGCATCTCAGGAATAAAACCTATGTAATCACGATGAATTACATTTTTGATATGCTGATGGATTTGGTTTGCTAGCATTTTGTTGAGGATATTTGCATCTATGTTCATCAGATATTGGCCTGTAGTTTGTTGTTGTTGTTTCCTTGCTAGATTTTAGTGTCAGGATGATACTGGTTTTGTAGAATGAGTTAGAGAGGAATTCCTTCTCCTCAATGTTTTAGAATGGTTGCAGTAAGATTGATACCATATATTTTTTTGTATGTTTGGTAGAATTCAGCTGTGAATTCATCTAGTCCTGGGCTTCTCCTGCTTGATAAATATTTTTATTACAAATTCAGTTTCATAATTAACTACTGGTCTGTTCAGATTTTTTTAAATTTATAGAGAAAAAATATTTATTTGGTCTATAGTTGTGCAGGCAGTAGAAGCATGGGACCAGCACCTGCTCAGGTTTGGGTGAGACCTCAGAAAGCATCGAATCACAGAGGAAGGCAAAGGGAGGGCCAGTGTATCACGTGTCAAGAGAGAAATCAAGAGCAAGAAGGGGAACATGGCAGGGTGTTTTAAACAACCAGCTCTCGTGTGACACAACAGAGCAAGGACTTGCTGATCGCCAAGGGGATGGAGCTAAGCAATTTATGAAGGGTCCACTCCCATGATTCAACATCTTCCACTAGGCCCACCACCAACATTTAAGGTCACATTCAACAAGAGATTTGGAGGGTAAACACATCCAAACAATGTCATTTCACCCCTATGGCCCCCAAATCTCATGTCCTTCTCATATTGCACAATACAATGTCATTTCATCCCTATGGCTCCCAAATCTCATGTCCTTCTCATATTGCACAATACAATTATCCTCCCCCAGTAGTCCCCAAAAATCTCAAGCTGTTTCAGCATCAACTCAAAAGTCCGAAATCTCATCTGAGCTTCAAGGTACATTCCTCCATCTATGAGCCTATGAGATCAAAACCAACTTATTTGCTTCCAATATTCAATGCAGTACAGGTGTTGGGTAAATATTCCCATTCCCAAATGGAGAAGTTGGGCAAAAGAAAGGGGCAACAGGCCTCAGGCAAATCTGAAACCCAGTAGGGCAGACATTAAACCTTCAAGCTCCAAAATAATTCTTGATTTCATGTCCCGCATCCAGGGCACACTTGTGCAAGGGGTGGGTTCCCAAGACCTTATGCAGCTCTGCCTCTGTGGCTTTGCAGTGTACAGTCACCATGGCTGCTGTCTTGGATCAGAGTTGCATGCCTGTGGTATTTCTAGGCTCAGGATGAAAGTTTCCCATGGCTCTACCATTCAGGGATCTCGAGGTGGCGGCCCCATTCCCACAGCTCCAGTATGTAGTGCCCCAGTGGGGACTCTGTGTGGAGGCTTCAATCCCACATTTCCTGTTGGCACTGCCCTAGTGGACTTTTGGTTTCTTTCTGATTCAGTCTTGGAAGGTGGTGTGTTTGCAGGAATGTATCCATTTTCTCTAGGTTTTCTAGTTTCTGCACACAAAGATATTCTGAGGATCTTTTTTATGTCGGTGGTATCCTTTGCAATGTCTCATTTGTCATTTTTGATTGTGCTTATTTGAATCTTCTTTTTTCTTGCATAATCTAACTAGCAATCTATCATTTGTATGTGTCCTTGCAAAGAACCAACTTTTTAATTTTGCTGACTCCTTGTATGGCTTTTTTGGTCCTGATTTCATTACCTTATTCTCTAACCTTTGTTATTTCCTTCTACTAGCTTTGGGTTTGGTTTGTTCTTTTCTAGTGTGTTTGGCTATTTTAGCTTGTTAATTTGAGATCTTTCTCTCTTTTTATGTAGGCATTTAGTGTTATAAACTCTCCTCTTAACATTGTTTTTTCTGTATCACAGACGTTTTGGTATGTTATGTTTCTATTTTCATTTGTTTCAGGAATTTCTTTAAATTTCTGCCTTAATTCTGTTATTTACACAAAAGTCATTCACGAGCAGATTGTTTAGTTTCCATGTACCTCTGTGGTTCTGCGAGTTCTCGATATTGACTTCTAATTTTATTCCACAGTGGTCTGAGAAGATACTTAATATAGTTGTGATTTTTAAAAATTTATTGAGGCTTATTTTATGACTGAGCATGTGGTCAATTTTGGAGAATGTTCCATGTGCAAATGAGAAAAATGTACATTCTATGGTTTCTGGGTGGAGTATTCTGTAGATATCTATTAGGTCTGTTTGGTCAAGAGCCCAATTTGAGTCCACAGTTTCATTGTTAGTTTTCTGCCTAATAATCTGCCTAACTAATCTGCTTACTGCTGTCGGTGGGGTGTTGAAGTCCTCCACAATTATTGTACAGCTGTGTATCTCTTTTCTTAGGTCTAGTAATATTTATTCTAAAAATCTGGGTGCTCCAATGTTGGCTGCATATATATTTAAGACAGTTAAGTCTTCTTGTTGAATTGAACACTTCATCATTATATAATGTCATTCTTTGTATTTTTTTTACTGTTGTTAGTTTAATGTCTGTTTTATCTTATACAAGAATAGCAATACCTCTCCTTTTTTGTTTTTCATTTATGTGATGAATCTTTTTCCATCCATTTACTTTGAGCCTGTTGGTATCATTACACATGAGATGGGTCTCTCAAAGGCAGCAGAAGTGTCTTGTTTTTTTATCCAGTTTGCCACTCTGTGTCTTTTAAGTGGAGCATTTCAACCATTTACATTCAAGCTTAATATTGATGTGTTAGGTTTTCTTCCTTTTATAGCATTAGCTAGTTACCTTGTAGTCTCAATTGTTTAATTGCTTTATAGGTTCTGTACATTTTGTATTCACGTGTGCTTTTATGGTAGCAAGTATCATTCTTTTATTTTCACTAGTCAAACTCCTTTAAACATTTCTTTTAGAGTCAGTCTGGAGGTAATGACTTCCCTTAGCATTTTCTTGTCTGGAAATATCTTATTTTCCTTTCTTTATGAAGCTCAATCTGGCAGGTTATGAAGTTCTTGCATGGCTGGGTGCAGTGGCTCATGCCTGTAATCCTAGCACTTTGGGAGGCTGAGGCAGGCAGATCACCTGAGGTCAGGAGTTCAAGACCAGCCTGGCCAACATGAAGAAACTCCATCTATATTAAAAATACCAAAATTTGCCAGGTGTGGTGGCGGGCACCTGTAATCCCAGCTATTGGGGAGGCTGAGGCAGGAGAATTGCTTGAACCCAGGAAGCGGAGGTTGTAGTGAGCTGAGATCACACCACTGCACTCCAGCCTGGGTGGCAAAGTGAGCCTCTGTCTCCAAAAAAAAGAAATTATTGGATGGCATTTTTTTTCCTTTAAGAAGGCTAATGCTAGGCCCCAATCTTTTCTAGGTTGCAGAGTTTCTGCTGATAAGTCTGTTGTTAATCTAATTTAATTTATAGGTAATTTGGCCCTTTGTTTGGGCTGCCTTTAATATATTTTCTTGTGCATTGACCACGGCTATTCTAATGACTGTGGATGCCTTAGGAATGGGCATCTTATTTACTATCCCACAGGTGTTCTCTGAATTTCTTATATCTGAATGTCAACCTTTCTAGCAAGACTAGAGAACTTCTCCTAAATTATTCCCTTAAATATACTTTCCTAGTTGGTTACTTTTTATTCTTCTGTTGTAGGAATGCCAATAAGTTATAAGTTTGGTCACTTTACATAATCCCATATTTCTTAAGGGCTTTGTTTTTCAGTTCTTTTTTCTTTTATTTTTGTCTGGGTTACTTGGCAAGACCAGTTTTCAAAGTCTAAAATTATTTCTTCTGCTTAGTCTAGTTTATTGTTAAAGATTCCAGCTGTGTTTTGAAATTCCATTAGTGATTATTTTAATTCCAGAAGCTCTATTTGTTTTTTTCTTAATCCAGCTATTTATTTTTCCATATTTCAAATTGTACTTAATGATTGTTTTGCACATAAAATTAATGTATACATGATTAATGCTTTAAAGGAACTAAGCACCCACCAGACTCAAGAAAAAATGATGCCCTATGATACATCTGAAAAAAATTTAATCTTTCTATTAAATACAGTTATGCAAATTAAGATAATATGTATTTTTGTCTAGCAAAATAAAATATAGGTATCAGTTTTGGTGAAGCTAAAGCATAATGGACATTAATTTGCCGATTGGTGCTGAAAGTATAAATTGATTCAACATTTTGCAGGGATGTTAGTCAATATGTGTGAAAATTATACACTAATATCTCTTTACACAGTAATTAAAGTGCTAGGACTTTTTGAAACGAAAACATGTCTCAATGTGCCCAAATTTGTTTCTGTGAATATGTTTATAAAAAATGTTGTTCATTGAAAGCAATACAGTATTTAACAATAGAGAGAGTAAGCCTGTAAATCATGGAACTTATTCAACAGGGGATGTCTGAAGAGGGTCTAAAAATAATCTATATGTTTAAATAAATAAATTAAAAGAAATTTATTTTAAAATCCTACATTTAATTATATTAAAAATTATCAATTTAGGTGATAGGATTATTGGTAAATTTGAATTTTTTAGCATTTTTGTTTCTTTATGTGCCAATTTTTCTATTACTGTCTTTTACTCCTTTTGTAGATAAAATATACTGTTTTAACAAAATAAATGTCATTCATAATTTCTTATACAGTAAGAAAATTTTTTGAGACAGATTCTTGCTCTGTCACCCAGGCGGGAGTGCAATCGTAGCTCACTGCAGCCTCAACCTCCCAGGATCAAGCTATCCTCCCACCTCAACCTCCCAAGTGTCTGGGACCATGGCTGTGCACCACCATACCTGGCTAACTTTTAAAGAAAGATTTTTGTAGAGCCAGTGTCTCACTGTGTTGCCCAGGCCAGTCTCAAACTCATGGGTTCAAACAGTCCTCCTCCCTCAGCCTCCACAAAGTGTTGGGATTACAGGCGTAAGCCAATGCACACAGGCAGAGCTTTTTTAAAAAAAACTATGCAATATATTTGGTCTTCAAAAAATGTTTTTGTTTGAAGAGCAAGGTACTCATGCAGGAAAATAATCCAATTTATGGTGCAGTTTAATTTAAAATGAAATCACTTGGCATTATTAAAAAATAAAATTTTGCCCAGGCGCAGTGGCTTACTCCTGTAATCCCAGCCTTTTGGGAGGCCAAGGCAGGTGGATCACCTGAGGTCAGGAGTTTGCGACCAGCCTAACATGATGAAACCCTGTCTCTACTAAATACACACACACACACACACACACACACACACACACACACAATAGCCGGGTGTGGTGGCGCATGCCTGTAATCTGAGCTACTTAGGAGGCTGAGACAGGAGATTCACTTGTACCCGGCAGACGGAGGTTGCAGTGAGCTGAGATCGCGCCATTGCACTCCAGCCTGGGCAACAAGAGTGAAACTCTGTTTAAAAAATAAATAAAATTAAAATAAATAAAATTTCGAGTGTCCATTTGTTACCGAGAAAATAATTTTAAAAAACATTATTCTAATGCAATCTACAATTGTGTAGAATCATTGTAGAATATACCACAGCATACTGTTGAGTTTTATTTGCTATTAAGATTAAGTGGGGCTGCACGGCCAGACAGGCCCTGCTCCTGAGGCCGGGCAGGCTGCGCGCCTGCGATCCTGCGCCTGTGGTCCTGGGGCAGCCCGGACCAGCTCAGGAGAACCCGCGAGCCCAGCGGCGACTGCCCGGGGCTGGAGCCCCAACTGCCGGCGCGCCGCCTGGGAGCGGCTTCTGGGAGCCGAGCGGCCACCGCCGTGCAGGGGCGCTGCTAATGCCCTTGCGAGGCTCAGTGGGTCTAAGAGGTCGGAGGCTGGGAGTGTCGCTGCTGAAGGCTGTGGTGGACCTGGCTGGATCGCGGATTCTGGGCTAGATCGCAGATTTGGGATCGCGGATTGGGGGTTGGAGCGGGAATTTGGAGCTGGATCGGGGATTTGGGGCTGGATTGGGGATTTGGGGCTAGGTGGGGGGCGGTGAAAAGGTGACACGGAGTTGTCGCGGCTCAGGAGCTGGTGGTTGGGTGTCTGAGAAGATTACAGGCGCCCGCCACCACGCTCAGCTAATTTTTGTATTTTTAGTAGACATGGGGTTTCACTGTGTTGGCCAGGATGGTCTCAAACTCCTGACTTCGTGATCTTCCCGCCTCGACCTCGCAAAGTGCTGGGATTACAGGTGTGAGCCACCGCACCCGGCCTTATCACTATTATTATGGTTTTTTTTTTTATTTATTTTTGTTGTTGTTTGTTTTTTGTTGTTGTTTTGTTGTTGTTGTTGTTTTTTGAGATGGAGTCTCGCTCTGTCCCCAGGCTGGAGTACAGTGGCGCGAACTTGGCTCACTGCAAGCTCTGCCTCCCGGGTTCACGCCATTCTCCTGCCTCAGCCTCCCGAGTAGCTGGGACTACAGGCACCCACCACCACGCCCGGCTAATTTTTTGTATTTTTAGTAGAAACGGGGTTTCACCGTGTTAACCAGGATGGTCTCGATCTTGTGATCCATCCGCCTCCGCCTCCCAAAGTGCTGGGATTACAGGCATCTGCCACCACACCTGGCCGAGCCCAGGAGTTTGAAACCAGCCTGGGCAACATGGCAAAACCCCATCTCTACAAAAAATACAAAAAAATTAGCCGGGCATGGTGGCACATGCCTGTAGTTCTAGCTACTTGGGAGGTTGAAGTGGTTCTGCCTGGGAGGATCACCTGAGCCTAGGAGGTTGAGTCTGCAGTGAGCTGTGATTGTGCCACCGTGCTCCAGCCTAGGTGATGGAGTAAGACCCTGTCTCAAGAAAAAAAAATCAGAACAGTTTCTCCTGGGAAGGTATACAAATGGCCAATAAGCACATGAAAAGATACTCAACCTCATTAGCCATCAGAAAAAAATGCAAATCAAAACCAAAATAAGATACCACTTCAGGGGAGCAGTGGTTCACACTAGTAATCCCAGCACTTTGGGAGGCCAAGGCAGGCCAATTGCTTGAGGCCAGGAGTTCAAGACCAGCCTGGGCAACATGGTGAGACTCTGTCACTGCAAAAAAATAAAAAATTAGCAGCTGGGCACGGTGGCTCATGCCTGTAATCCCAGCACTTTGGGAGGCCGAGGCGGGTGGAGCACGAGGTCAGGAGTTCAAGACCAGCCTGGCCAACATAGTGAAACCCTGTCTCTACTAAAAATACAAAAGTTAGCTGCATGTGGTAGCACATGCCTGTAATCCCAACTACTCAGGAGGCTGAGGTGGGAGAATCACTTGAATCCAGAAGGCAGAAGTTGCAGTGAGCTGAGACCACACCATTGCCCTCCAGCCTGGGTGACAGAGTGAGACTCTGTTTGAAAAAATAAAATAAAATAAAATAAAATAAAGTAAAATAAAATAAATAAAAATTAGTAGGGTGTGGTGGCATGCACCTGTAATCCCAGCTACTTGGGAGGCTGAGGTGTGAGGATCACCCCAGGAGGTCAAGGCTGCAGTGAGCTGTGATCATACCACTGCACTCCAGCCTGGACGACAGAGCGAGACCCTGTCTCAAAAAAAAGAGCTATCAGGCTGGGTGTGGTGGCTGCCACCTGTATTCCCAGCACTTTGGGAATACAGTGCTGGGAGGCGGGTGGATCACCAGATCAGGAGTTCAAGACCAGCCTGGCCAAGATGGTGAAACCCCATCTCTACTAAAAATACAAAAATTAGCCGGGCATGGTGGCAGGTGCCTGTAATCCCGGCTGAGCCAGGAGAATCACTGGAACCCAGGAGGTGGAGGTTGCAGTGAATTGAGATTACGCCATTGCACTCCAGCCTGGGCAACAGAGCAAGATTCTGTCTCAAAAAAACAAAAAGTTCTGATTTCATTTTAACCAGTACAAGATACAGGAAGGGAAGCTGCCCAGTGACGTTCTTGCTATTCAGCCATGGCCTTAAGGCTGCATTATTCATAACCATGAGTAGCGTGGCCTTTCTGAACAGCTTCTGAAAAGCACGTTTGTTACTGCAGCTTTGCAGTTTACCTCCTTCTACGTTCAGGGCTCAAACCCCGTTTAACACACGCCCCCTACTGGGCCATTGAGAACTGCTAGTCTCTTCAGGTCCCCTTCCACGCAGTGTGCAGGCTCCCTGTGCACAACTCCCCTCCTCCTGCCCCTAGGGCTCTGCCTGAGTTCACATTCTGGCCTGCACTGCCAGATCTCCCTCCAGCCTCTCACCAGCTCCATCATCCTCTGAACTGCCCCAGAGGCACATCTCTAAGAACACTAATGCCATCACTCAAAAACATTTGACTGGAAGCCAGGCACGGTGGCTTGGGCATGGTGGCTCATGCCTGTAATCCCAGCACTTTGGGAGGTGGAGGCTGGCGGATCACTTGAGGTCTGGAGTTCAAGACCAGCCTGGCCAACATGGTGAAACCCCATCTCTACTAAAAATAAAAAACTAGGCCGGGCACCGTGGCTCATGCCTGTAATCCCAGCACTTTGGGAGGCCGACGTGGGTGGATCACGAGGTCAGGAGATGGAGACCATCCTGGCTAACACAGTGAAACCCTGTCTCTACTAAAAATACAAAAAATTAGCTGGGCATGGTAGCAGACGCCTGTAGTCCCACATACTCGGGAGGCTGAGGCACGAGAATGGTGTGAACCTGGGGAGGGGAGGGGAGATCAGGTGAGTTAAGCTGGAGTTGGGGGGGAATGTTGGCCAAGTGGCAGGCAGGGTGGGCCTGGGCCTGAGGGAAGCCATAGGCCCCTAGACTTATTCCTGCTGACAGAGCGCCAGCGGCTGGGCAGGAGCATGAGCAAGGTGGGTTTGCATCTGTCGCTGGAGGAGCGCTCCGAATGCTTCTCAGGACAAAAGCAGGAGGCTGCCATTGTTCACAGGATGTGAGATCTAATATGGTTCAGGCTGGGGCAAATCAGTGAAGATCAAAATCCCTCATCTTCCACAATGAGGGACTAGAATCAAAGGTGGATGTGCTCCCGCCTGCTCACAAAGGGTCCTCACATGCCCCAGGGCCCTCTGCTGGGGCACAGTCCACATTAGGTGACACACAAACAGCCTGAGGGTGCCCAGTCGCTGAGCAGCCCCAGACGCTGTGCCGTTACCGGCAGGCAGGGCCCTGCAGGAGACCTTCTCCTGCCCGGACCAGAGAGGCTGCAGGGGTGCTGTGGGGAGAGGGCCAGATGGCCACAACACAGCTGGGAATGGCTCCAGAGGGGAGGGTGGAGAGTGCGCTGGCCCATGGGAGGACTCAGAGAGGAGTTGCGTGTGTTTGGCGCTTGTGGACATGGTGTGTGGCAGTGTGAGCCAACAGGCCAACGGGCAGCAAGCATAGGAGGCTTTATGGATCCCCCTGAAGAACCACTGTGTGGAGGGGAAATGGCCCCCTGTGAGGAAAGTCCTAGCAGCCGGTGGAGCGCAACCAGATGCGGGCCCAGACTGATGGGGTCTCCATGGGAGCCCAGGTGGGAGGTGGAGGAGAAGGGAGACAGTGAGAAGGTTGTCACCAGGCCCTCACTAATACCCAGGGAGAAGCCCGTGTGCAAAGGAGGTGAAGGATAGTGCTTTGGTTTGGTTTGGTTTGGTTTGGTTTGGTTTGAGATGGAGTCTTGCTCCATTGTCCAGGCTGGAGTACAGTGGTGCAATCTCGGCTCACTGCAACCTCCACCTCCTGGGTTCAAGTGATTCTTCTGCCTCAGCCTCCCAAGTAGGTGGGATTGCAGGCATGAACCATCACACCCAGCTAATTTTTGTATTTTTAGTAGAGATGGGGTTTCACCATGTTGACCATGCTGGTCTCAAACTCCTGACCTCAGGTGATCCACCCACCTCAGCTTCCCAATGTGCTGGGACTACAGACGTGAGCTACTGCGCCTAGTGGAGGATGGGTTTATATTGGGAAAAACCAATCTTATCAAACTTGGTGAAAACGACCACAGGATGTAACCCTCTGGCCTGGGACCCACCCCATCAAGTGGGTGGGGGCTGACAAGAAAACAACAGCGGCTCCTGGACAGCTCCCAGCAGGGCTCACTGCTCGGGCCCGGCCTAGCGCTGAGTGGGGCTGTTCCTGGCCCGACAGCCTCCTGAGGCTGGCTGCCAACACCGCACCCTTCCCACCTGTGTCCTGGAAGTGCTCAGAGGAAACATCTGCCCGGAACATGACATCAGTAAATCATTAATGAGACAGTCACTATATGACATAAATCCACTTAGCAGAGCCTCACCCTCACCTAGCAACTGGGTCACCAGCAAACTAACCACTTGGTGTGACTCTTCCATTAGGACTGCGTGGCCCCGGAGCCTCAGAGGCCAACGTTCCCAACCAGGGACTCCACCCTTCTCCCAGAGAGAGGCAAAAACAAAACAATGTAACTGAAAACCGGGTTGTAAAAACCGGTGGAAGAGCTGGGAACAGTTAACAGGGTGTCTTTCACCTCTGTGTGTAGGAGCCGAGGTGGAGCCGCCAGCTGTTCAAAGGATGCCCCCTCCTGGGGGATAAGAGGGCTCGCCAGAGCCAGTGAGGTGGGTGGGCAGGGTCCCTGTGCAGTGACACTGGTTGTTCCTGAGGCAAGCAGAACTCCTCCCCACCCTTTTTTTTTGAGACGGAGTTTCGCTCTTATTGCCCAGGCTTGAGTGTAATGGCGCGATCTCGGCTCACCACAACCTCCTCCTCCTGGGTTCAAGCGATTCTCCTGCCTCAGCCTCCAGGCTAATTTTTGTATTTTTAGTAGAGATGAGGTTTCACCATGTTGGCCAGGCTGGTCTCGAACTCCTGACCTCAGGTGATCCACCCTCCTTGGCCTCCCAAAGTGCTGGGATTACAGGCATGAGCCACTGCGCCTGGCCACTGAACTCCCCATTTTATACAGTGGGAAACAAAGGTGCAACGACCCCAGGGACAGGCTTGGGAAACAGCTAATAAACAGCAGAGTCAGGCCACAAGGCCAAGTCTGACTCGGGGATCTCCATCCCACACCCGCCATCAACAGCAAACACATTAAAACTAAATGCCACGGCTGGGCGCAGTGGCTCACACCTGTATTCCCAGCACTCTGGGAGGCTGAGGCAGTCAGATCACCTAAGGTTGGGAGTTTGAGACCAGCCTGGCCAACATGGTGAAGCCCCATCTCTACTAAAAATACAAAAATTAGCCAGGCATGGTGGTGTACATCTGTAATCCCAGCTTCTTGGGAGGCTGAGGCATGAGAATCTCTTGAACCCAGGGGACAGAGGTTGCAGTGAGCTGAGGTCGCACCACTGCACTCCAGCCTGCTGGACGACAGAGCAAGACTCTGTCTCAAGAAACAAAACAAAACAAAAACAAAAACTTAAACACCAGGGAACACACACAACACACATACCAATAAGATCATGAAGAAGGAACGGCTGAAAAGTCCACCAATTGCAGTTTATTTGGAGTCTAGCCAAGTACCATTTGTATGTATGTTTCTCTCACTTTCTATTCTACCATATGTGTTGAAAAGACCTATTTTTCCCTAACTGGCAGTGAAACATCATTAAATATATGTACACATATAAACACACACACAATATAGCATGTACACTTAACACACGTCCATGCATGGGTACTGACAGAGCTTGGGCAAGTCAGGGAAGACCCTTATCTGAAGGACATACCCTTGGTGCCATTTGGGAGAACAAACTCCTGTTACTAGCATCACAACAAAAACAGGTGGCAAGCTTTAAAGATAAACTCAAGACAGCGAGTGAAACTTCAGCAAATACGTGTTAATATGACCATGAGTAAAAGGCCCTTCCTGGCCAGGCGCGGTGGCTCACGCGTGTAATATCAGCACTTTCGGAGGTCGAGGCAGGAGGATCACCCGAGATCAGGAGTTCGAGACCAGCCTGGCCAACATGGTGAAACCCTGTCTCCACTAAAAATACAAAAATTAGTTGGGCGTGGTGGTGGGCGCCTGTAATCCCACCTACTTGGGAGGCTGAGGCAGGAGAATCACCTGAACCCAGGAGGTGGAGGTTGCGGTGAGCCTAGATTGTGTCTTTGCACTCCAGCCAGGGTGTTAAGAGTGAAACTCCACCTCAAAAAAAAAAAAAAAAAAAAGACCCTTCCTAAGAACAGCACTGTAACTCATGAGTTATTACGCAGATGCATCTGTCCATCTACCCACCAACTCAGGTCCTCTCCATACACGCCTGTAAGTCACTGGGCTACTGGGAAACTGCATGGGAACACCATGTTCGTGCAGCCTGTCCCCACAGCCATCACTCCTCCCACAGCTCCTGGCTGCCCATGGCACTTCCCTGCAGCAAACTCAGCTGCTGACTTCATAAAAGGCACACAGCTGGACCTGTCTTCACTCATCTGCTTCAATTTACAACAGATTCATCCACAAAACTGAAGTGGTAGAAACAGGTCTATTTGAATCCAGGCATGGTGGCTCATGCCTGTAATCCCAACACTTTGGAATGCTTAGGCAGGAGGATTGCTTAAGCCCAGGAGTTTGAGACCAGCCTGGCTGACATGGTGAAACTCTGTCTCTACCAAAAGACTTTAAAAATTAGGTGGGGGTGGTGGTGTGTGCCTGTGTTGTCCCCGCTACTCCGGAGGCTGAGGCGGGTGGCTCACTTGAGCCCAGGAAGTTGAGGCTGCAGTGAGCCATGATCGCACCACGGCACTCCAGCCTGGGTGACAGGGAGAGATCCTATCTGAAAAGAAAAAAAAAAGAAAAGAAAAGAAGACAGGTCTTCCTGGGAGCACCTAGACAAAGGCCTTTGTAAAGATATATTACAAAGGAATATTTCTAGTTGCCTCTTTTCTTCAAAATCACAGTCAAGTAAGCTGGGCATGGTGGCTCACATCTGTAATCCCAGCAGTTTGGGAGGCCGAGGTGGGCAGATCACCTGAGGTTAGGAGTTTGAGACCAGCCTGCCCAACATGGTGAAACCCCATCTCTACTAAAAATACAAAAATTAGCCGGGTGTGGTGGCACATGCCTGTAATCCCAGCTACTTGGGAGCCTACCCAGGAGGCAGAGGTTGCAGTGAGCCGAGATTGTGCCAGTGCACGCCAGCCTGGGTGACAGAGCAAAACTCTGTCTCAGGAAAAAAAAAAAATATCACAGTCTAGTAAAAAGAAACGCAACTAAAAGAGCTGTCAGTTAAATACATTCCTCTCTAATGGCAGGACTAGTCTATAAGATTTGTTTTGTTTTTAATTTAGAGTTTTTTTAATGTTTAAACCTTGTGAAACATCAAATTATATGCTGAAGCTGTTACTTTCTGTCAAAAAAAGTGAGTTTTTAATATGAAAATTCTGCTTAGGTTAATTTTTTTTTTTTAAAAAGCAAGTTTTATACATCTGCGTGAATTGTTTCCTTTAGCACTAGTCAAACAGACTCCATAACCTTCCAAAGAAGTGCCTTCATTTATTTATGGGGCTTAGGACAGGAAAAAAGCTCTGGAAAAGGGAAATTTCAAAATAGGGCTTCAGCAGCAGCCCAGGTGGAGTGAGTAGTTTTGATAAGGTCTGGGTGGGACTCACTTCCAGGTGGTGAGGACAGCTCTCCCCGATCTCTCTATCGGCCTGCTCTGGGCCACAGAGACTGGCCCTGACGACTTCTCAGCTCCCGGTCAGCCCTGTCACCCTGGGCCAGTTCTTCATTGTACCTGGAGACAGAAACAGCCAGGATCATGGCAGGCTCTCTTTCGAAGGCAACAGGCAGGGCCACCAGGCTGCTGTGTGGCGAATACGACATTACCCAGAGAAGCGGCCTGAGAGGGCCCTCCGGCTCCTCCTGGCTCCCACCCACCTCCCACCTGGCTCCAGCCTACCTACCTGCGAGGTGGCTTTTGCAGCCTGGCAAACGCTCCCCAAGGCCACCATGCCTATGTGTACAGCCTTGTTGTTATTGTGGACAGTGTTCTCCCCTCAGAAGCTGACATTTTATACAGGTCACCAGATCAAATTTGGCAATGACTCGTTTTATAAGGTCAATATGTATTTACAATTACTCACATTATCTTGAGTTCTCACCGCTGTTGTGTCCTTCCTGAATTTTCATGTCGCATTGGGTCAGCTTCTCTTCTGCCTTTGGAGTCCCTGTTTAATATTACCTTTAGGGGCAGTCTGTCGGTAGCATATTTTTCCAATTTTTGCTTTTGGAAGAAGGCTTTGCTTCAACCCAGTGGTGAGCACATGTGAGGCTGTTGTTTATTAATCGAATATTTCCCCCTTTTATTTTTGAGACAGAGTTTTGCTCTGTCACCCAGGCTGAATTGCAGTGGCGTGATCTTGACACACTGCAACCTCTGCCGCCTGGTTTCAAGCGATTCTCCTGCCTCAGCCTCCCAAGTAGCTGGGATCATAGGTGTCTGCCACCATGGCCGGCTAATTTTTTGGGTTTTTAGTAGAGGCGGAATTTCACCCTGCTGGCCAGGCTGGTCTCAATCTCCTGACCTTGTGATCCACCCGCCTCGGCCTCCCAAAGTTCTGCGATGACAGGTGTGAGCAACTGTGCCCAGCCTTCCTCTCCTTTTTTTTTTTTCCCCAAAAGAAACGCGGAGTTGGAGACAGACTTATTAGCATTGAAGGGAGAGATCTGATGAAGAGAAATGGGGCCACATTGAGGCAGTGTCCTGGGAGGAGCTGTGGTTTTTACGTCTGTCGGTGTTAGGGGGAAAGATGTGGACCAGGGTGGTAGCCAGTGGGCTAAGGGTGAGGCTCCCACCTCACAGGGAGGTGGAGAGAAAGACATGGAGACAGAGAGACAGAGACAGAGAGGCAGAAACAGACAGACCCACAGAGAGAGAGGGAAACAGAGATGAAGAGACAGAAACACACAGACAGACAGTGATAGAAAAAGGGAGACACAGAAATAGAGGGACAGATACAGAGATGGAGAGAAAGACAGAGACAGATAGAGAGACACTAAGAGAGACACAGAGAGAGAAAGAGATGGAGACAGAGAGACAGAGACAGAGAAGCAGAAACAGAGACAGATACACAGAGAGAGCGAGACATAGATGAAGAGACAGAAACACAGAGAGACAGTGATAGAAAGGGAGACACAGAAACAGAGGGACAGATACAGAGATGGAGAGAAAGACAGAGACAGACAGAGAGACACTAAGAGAGACACAGAAAGAGATGGAGACAGAGAGACAGAGACAGGCAGAAACAGAGACAGACACACAGAGGGAGACAGAGATGAAGAGACAGAAACACACAGAGAGACAGTGATAGAAAGAGGGAGACACAGAAACAGAGGGACAGATACAGAGATGGAGAGAAAGACAGACAGACAGAGAGACACTAAGAGAGACACAGAGAGAGAAAGAGATGGAGACAGAGAAGCAGAAACAGAGACAGACAGAGAGAGAGAGGGAGACAGAGATGAAGAGACAGCAACACACAGAGAGATAGTGATAGAAAGAGGGAGACACAGAAACAGAGGGACAGATACAAAGAAAGAGAGACACTAAGAGAGACACAGAGAGAGAAAGACTGACATATACATAGAAAGAGGGAGAGAGGCCGGGCACGGTGGCTCACACCTGTAATCCCAGCACTTTGGGAGGCCGAGGCAGGCGGATCATGAGGTCAGGAGATCGAGGCCATCCTGGCTAACACGGTGAAACCCCGTCTCTACTAAAAATACAAAAAAATTAGCCAGGCGTGGTGGCGGGCACCTGTAGTCCCAGCTACTCGGGAGGCTGAGGCAGGAGAATGGCGTGAACCCGGGAGGCGGAGCTTGCAGTGAGCGGAGATCGAGCCACTGCACTCCAGCCTGGGTGACAGAGCGAGACTGTCTTTCAAAAAAGTAAGTAAATAAATAAATAATGGGGGGGGAGCTTCCTCCATCTTTATTTTAGAGACATGGGGGATTTTCAGGTAAGGTGTTAGGATATGAAAGCAATGTCCTCTTCCCCTGGGGAGAGGCTAAAATAGGGAGAGATGGGGAAGGAAATCCTTGAGGGAGCCCCAGGCATTAGTCCAACCAGGAGCACTAAGGGCCAGAACCAGAACATGTTACTTGGCCTGAGTGTGACTTCTGGTGTAAGAAAAACAGACCCTGAAGGTCTTTGTGAAACTTTAGTTTCTCCTTCTAAAGAAATGCCTGTTTATTTTACAGATGCAAAGAGTAACCACATTAATTCCAAGGCAGTTTTCCAAAGTATTATAATGATCCCAACAAGAAAATGGCATTTCAGTTCAAATGTTACTGAGTTCCAGGGAAACGGTTAGATACCCAGGCTGTGGAACTGGGTTGGATGCAGGACTCAGGATCCAGAGACAAGGAAGGCAGCATCATAAGTCAGCCACCCATAAATGCAATATTATAGTAGTCCCAATTTCTTTTTGAGGTTTGTTCCAATCAACAGCAACTGAAACACAACTCAGAGTAAGTTAGGCAGAGAAAGAAAATTGTTGAACTAATATAACTGTGAGATCCTATGATGGAGCTGACCTCAGGATTCCCAAGGACTTAAGAAATCTCTAGATAGATAGATAGATAGATAGAGACATAGATAGAGAAAAAAATAGATATAGATAGAATAAATAGATGATAAATACATAGGATAGATAAATAGCTAGATGATAGGTAATATATATAGATATGTAGATGTTTAATGGATACATAAAATAGGTAGATAAATAGGATGGATAGATACATAATTGATAGATAACTAGGACAGATAGATACATGATAGATACATTGATACACAGGATAGATAAATGATAGGTAGATAGATAAGATGGATAGATACATAGATAAATAGATTAGATAGGAGAGATGATAGATAGGTAGATAGATAGATAGATAGTTAGAATAAGATGGTTGATAGATAGTCACATAGAATAAGAAGGATGATAGATGATAGAGAGAGGGATAGAAAGATAGGATAGATGATGGGTAGATGGTTAGATAGATAGGATAGATGATAGATAGATAGATAATAGATAGATGGAATAAATATCGTATAACTGCATAAACAAATGTATGGAAATAAGCAAATAACCATGACTTAAATAAGATGGAAGTTTGTTTCTCTCTGATATGATAGGAGGCCAGAACAAGGGGTCCAGGTTATTGTACAGATTCAAGATGTCAGGCATTTTGAATGTTGTTGCTCCACTATTTTAGTATGTGACTTTCTACTCATGGTTCAATATGGTGGCATGGTCTCCAGCCCTCACATCTCCATTGCAGCTAGCAGCAAAAGGAGAGGGAATAGTTCACATTCACTTTTTTACAAAATTAAAGAGATTTTTATGGTCTTAATACATTCCTACTTACTTCTCATGAGCTCAAAGTTCATCATACAGTCACACAGAGCTGCAAGGGAGTCTAGGAAAAACAGTCTCAAAAAGTAGAGGTGGACAGCTTCTCAGGGATCTCCCAAGTTCTGATGACTCTCTCAACTCTCTGCTTCTCTCTGGGTTCCAGACTAGATTCTCTCAGAAAAAGTCTTGGAATATAGGATGGAAAAAAAAAATCCAGCTGCTGCAGCTATAGATTCACAGTCTGAGCTTCTCCCACCACCCTCTCAGTCTTTGCTGATCAAATTCAGGGGAAGGTTAACTAGCCTGTTTTGAACCATATGTCTATCTCTGGGATAATCTCTGCACCTGAGAAAGGCTGGCTTCTCAGAGCAGATGATTTTGTTGTTGTTGTTGTTAAACTTTAAAAGATGAATCAGATGTTACAATGACTCAGGGCTGGGCAGGCAAACTCAGGGAACTAGGAAATTGATGATGGAGTCAGAGATTGAGGTGCTGGGTGTGATGTGATGAAGTACAGACAGAGAGGCCACATCTTTCCATGTGTGAATTTATGAAAGATTTCAGACACTTAGGTAAGGATCCTGAACTATTCTCTGCAGTTGATGAGAAACCACCAACATTTTGTGACCAGTCATGTCAACATTTATGCTTATACATATTAAATAGGTCTAAATGTGTTTAGACCTATTACCTTGGAACCCATGCATAGGATGGATGAGAAGGGATGGCACTGAAGATGGAAGCCTGGAGACTCTGGCATGGGATGGATGGTGGTAATGGAGTCTTTGAACCTGGAGCATGGAGTGGGAAGGAAGAAGTGAGAAGGCATTCAAAGTCACCAGTGAGGCTGGGCACCATGGCTCACACCTGTAATCCCAGCACTTTGAGAGGTCAAGACAGGCAGATCACTTGAGCTCCGGAGTTCAAGACCAGCCTGGGCAACATGATGAGACCCCCATCTCTATTAAAAATAGAAAAAATAGCCAGGAGTGGTGGTGTGTGCCTGTAGTCCTAGCTACTAGGGGAGCTGAGGTGGGAGGATCACTTAAGCCCAGGAGGTGGAGGTTGCAGTGAGCTGAGATTGTGCCACTGCACTCCAGCCCAGGTGACAGAGTGAGACATTGTCTCAAACAAACAAACAAATTAAAATAACACAAACACACACACAAAAACAAAAAAACAAAAATACAAAAACAAACAAAAAACAGTCACCACAGAAGCAAACTGTTGTGTCTCTTTGATGTTGAGGGAAAAATCAAACGTGACTTCAGAGCTCTAACCTGAAAGGTTGAGTGGGAAACAAACTCCCAATAAAAGAACATAAATTATGTCTGGGGGAGAAAAGAAGACAAAGTTGAGTTCAGCCTTTGCTTTATTGATTCTTCTTCTGAAGGAGGTTCTTCTAAAACAGGGAGTCACATTTAGCCTTTGCTCGTTCTTCTCCTCTTCCCAAAGGGGTTCTTCTAAATGTTGGGCTGAACTAGGGCTCAAACATAAGCTTCCTTCTCTCTCCAGGGGATCTCACTCAGCCCCAAGACTTGACACATCCACTCAAAATCCTAAATTCCCATCTCTGGCTTTGACATCTTTTCTCTACTTCAGATTCATGCATGTAACTGTATCCTCAACTTCTCAGCTCAGATAAATGATTAGGGCTTCCAAGTTAACCCATCCCAAACCATCTGGAAAGCCTTCACTGGATTCACCACCACCCCTGAGAAGTGTTTTGGCAGAAGACTTTGGAAACTTTGAACTCTTCTTTCTCTCATCTCCCCCTTATACAATTCATTGGCAAGTCTCTTGAATGACCTCAAATATTTGTCAAATTGGATCAGATTTTCCTGCCTTTGCTTTCTTCACCCTCATGCATGACATATGTCATCTGGATCATAGCCACATCCTCTTGATTGATCTCTTGGCTTCTGTCCTGGTTTCTGCTTTGATCCTGGAATTATTCTTAAGCAGAGAAATCTTTCAAAAATAGAGATGATTTTTAGCTTGTGGTCCTCATCCCTTGCTAATGACTAAATAGCAAAGTTTCCCAAAATTTGTATGTTGAAGGCCTAACCCCTACTAGTCATGTCCCTCCAAAATGCACCATATGGAAACCCTAATCCCCAATGGGATGATATTAGGAGGTGAAGTCTCTGGAGGTGATGAGGTTTAGATGAGGTCATGAGGATGGGTCCTTCATGACGGGATTAGTATCCTTATAAGAAGAGCGAGAGACACAAAAGTGCTCTCTCTCTCTCTCTTTCTCTCTCTGAACGCACCATCTGTGAACCAGCAAGAGGACCCACTCCAGACAATAAATCTGCCATACCTTGATCTCGGACTTCCCCATCTCCAGAACTGTGAGAAATCAATGGCTGTTACTTAAGCCACCCAGTCTATAATTTTTGTTATGGCAACCCGAGCTGAATAAGACATCCCTCATTGCCACTCAAAACCCGCCAATAATTTCACATCGAAGTCAGAATACAATCTAACTACTTCCCTATGGCTTCTTTGTAACTCTGTCCCTGGTCACTTGCTCCAACTGGGACTCTGTGGTCCCAATAAAATAACGTAAATTATGTCTGGGGAAGAAAAGAAGACAAAGTTGAGTTCAGCTTTGCTTTACTGATTCTTCTTCTGAAGGGGGTTCTTCTAAAACAAGGAGTCATCACGTTTAGCCTTTGCTTGTTCTTCTTTGCTGCCCCCTTGGGCATCCCCCCAGTCATGCCAAATTCATTCCTGCTGCAGACCTCCAGTACATTACTCCTTCTGTGAGTGTCCTCTGGCCGCCATCACCAATGATCACATTCGTATTGGCTTAAAGCAACACAAATGTATTGTCTTACAGTGTTGTAGTTTTGAAGCCCACCCTGGGTCTCACTGGCCTAAAACCAAGGTGTCAGCAAAACTTCCCTCTTGATGCAAGTTCTGGGGGAGAATCAGTTTCCTTGCCATTTCCTGCTTCTAGGGGAATGTTTCTAGAGTATTTCTTGGCTCCTGGACCCTTCCTTGAACTTCAGAGCCAGTAGTGCAGCATCTTCTAATTTCTCTGTGACTCTGACCTTTGCTTTTGTCCTAACATCACCTCCTCTGGCTCTGGCACTCCTGCCTCCCTCTTACAAAGATCCTGTGATGATCTTAGACCCAGCTGGATAATCCAGGGTCATTTCATCTCATGATTCTTAAACTAATCACATCTGCAAAATCTTTTTAGCCATGACAGGTTTTTACAGATTTCTAGAATTAGGATGTGGATTTTTTTTTGAGGGGGGGAAGGGGGTGCTTACTCTGTCAACCACATGGGGATTAGGATGTAGACATCCTTGGGGCCATTATCCTGTCTGCTACCTAGTATTAGGACATGGACATCTTTGGGACCATTATTCTCTGTATCACATGAGGATTAGGACATGGGTATCTTTGGGACCATTATTCTGTCTCCCACATGGGGATTAGGATGTGGACATCTTTGGGGCCATTATTCTGTCTGCCATGTGGGGATAAGGATGTGTACATCTTTGAGGCCATTATTCTGTCTACCACATGGGGATTAGTATGTGGACATCTTTGGGGTCATTATTCTGTCTACCACATGGGGATTAGGACGTGGACATCTTTGGGGCCATTATTCTGTCTGCCACGTGGGGATTAGGATGTGTACATCTTTGGGGCCATTATTCTGTCTATCACATGGGGATTAGGACGTGGACATCTTTGGGGCCATTATTCTGTCTGCCACATGGGGATTAGGATGTGTACATCTTTGGGGCCATTATTCTGTCTGCCACATGGGATTAGGACATGGACATATTTGAGGCCATTATTCTGTCTACCAAATGGAGATTAGGATGTGGACATCTTTGGGGCCATTATTCTGTCTCCCACATGAGGATTAGGATGTGGACATCTTTGAGGCCATTATTCTGTCTCTCACATGGGATTAGGATGTGAAGATCTTTGGGAACATTATTGTTTTCACCACATGGGATTAGGACATGGACATCTTTGGGGCCATTATTCTGTCTACCACACGGGATTAGGATGTGGACATCTTTGGGACCACTATTCTGTCTACCTCATGGGGATTAGGATATGGACATCTCTGGGACCATTATTCTGTCTACCACATGGGAAATAGGATGTTGGTCACATCTTTAGGATCATTATTCTGTCTCCCACATGGGGATTAGGATGTGGACATCTTTGGGGCCATTATTCTGTCTACCACATGGGGATTAGGACATGGACATCTCTGGGGACATTATTCTGTCTACCACATGGGGAATAGGATATTGGTAACATCTTTAGGGCCATTATTCTGTCTACCACATGGGGATTAAGACATGGATATCTTTGGGGCCATTATTCTGTCTACCACGAGATAATTAGAACTTGGACATCGTTGGTGAAATCACTTTGTCTTTGTCCTTTCTTATTCTTAGAATTCTAGTGACAAGCGTCTTCTTCTTCCTCAACTTCTTCTTCCTCAGCGTTCCTATGGGGCCTCCAACACTCACCAGACAGCTCCCTGACTGCATTACCCTAGATTGTATTTGGCCAAGATTCTCGGGTTTTTCTTGGTTTCTCCAAGCAGGATGGAAGCTTTAGAGGGCAGAGTGTTTGTTACTCTTTCTTATTCTAATTGTGTATTCTTATTTATTGACGTGTCTCCAGCTTTCAAGGCAGATTCTCACCCATTAGGTCTTCTATATACAATTAAATTTACCTAGAAAGTATTTCCTTCTTATTTAAAACTTTTTAAAAGTAAATTCATGTATACATATGTAACCAACCTGCATGTCGTGCACATGTACCCTAAAACTTAAAGTATAATAATAATAAAATTTTAAAAAAAGAAAGATAACAACCAAAAAACAACAAAAAAGTAAATTCCAAAATTTCTATATCACATTACAAATTCACATGCTACCATGAAGAATACATTTGCAAAATAAATGATGTCTTGAGACGAAATGAGTTTTCAATGAAGATTTTAGAGACTTCATTTTTATTTTTATTTTTTAGACAGAGTCTCACTCTGTCACCCTGGCTGTAGTGCAGTGGCACGATCTCGGCTCACCACAACCTCTGCCTCCTGCGTTCAAGCAATTCTCTGCCTCAGCCTCCCGAGCAGATGAGATTACAGGAACCTTCCACCTTGTCCGGCTAATTTTTGTATTTTTAGTAGACACAGGTTTCACCTTCTTGGCCAGGCTGGTCTTGAACTCCTGACCTCAGGTAATCCCCCCACCTCGGCCTCCCAGAGTGCTAGGATTACAGATGTGAGCCACCGTGCCTGGCCGAGACTTTTTAATACATGCTTTGGTTCTAATAAAGTTCCCCCTTGAGCTGTTTGGACAGATGACAGGGAAGAAATCATTTACAATTCTCTTAACAAAACCCCCGTAAATAATAACCCATTTCCCCCCAAATAGAAAAGGGAACTATTTCACCCTGCTCTTTGAGGAACTTGAATAAATAGTAAATGAAGTTCTGTCTATACAGGAAGGGTGGGTACTTGGCATTACATCTAGACAAGTAAAGACACAAGTGTTTTCTTCCAAATGAATGACATGTTTAAAAACCATCATCACCACCCTCTCTGTGATTACAGGTTTTGCGTGCCTTTTAACCACTGGGTGCTAGAAGCAAATTTCCATGTGAACACACCCTCCTTCTTCTTCTCCTCCTGCTCCTCCCGCTCCTCCTCCTCCTTCTTTTCTCCTTCTCCTTCTCCTTCTTCTTCTTCTTCCTCTTCTTCCCCTTCCTCCTCTCCTTCTCTTTCTTCTCCTTCTTCTACCTCTTCTCCCTCTTCCTCTTCTTCCTCCTCTCCTTCTTCTTCTTCTTTTTCCCCTTCCCCTTCCTCCTCCTCCTTCTCCTCCTCCTCCTTCTCCTCCTCCTCCTCTTCTTCTCCTTCTCCTTCTCCTTCTCCTTCTCCTTCTCCTTCTTCTTCTTCTTCTTCTTCTTCTTCTTCTTCTTCTTCTTCTTCTTCTTCTTCTTCTCCTTCTCCTTCTCCTTCTCCTTCTCCTTCTCCTCCTTCTCCTTCTCCTTCTTCACTTCAAGTTATGGTATACATTTGCAGAACGTGCAGGTTTGTTACATAGGTATACATGTGCCATGGTGGTTTGCTGCACCTATCAACCCATCATCTAGGTTTTAAACCCTGCCTGCATTATGTATTTGTCCTAATTCTGTCCCTCCCCTTTCCCCCAACCCCCAGACAGGCCCCAGTGTGTTATGTTACCCTCTCTGTGTCCATGTGTTCTCATTGTTCAACTCCCTCTTATGAGTGAGAACATGCGGTGTTTGGTTTTCTGTTCCTGTGTTAGTTTGCTGAGAATGATGGCTTCCAGCTTCATGCATGTCCCTGCAAAGGACATGAATGCATCCCTTTTTATGGCTGCATAGTATTCCATGGTGTCTATGTGCCACATTTTCTTTATCCAGTTTATCACTGATGGGCATTTGGGTTGGTTCCAAGTCTTTGCTGTTGTGAATAGGAGCACATCCTCCTGATTCAACAATGAGATCATCGTCCACTGTTCTGTTCAGGACTACGGAAAGGTCCCAGGCTGCTAAGACAATCTCGAATTCTCTCAACACCCCACAGCTTGTCAATACTGGAGGTATTCTGGTGATTTTTTTTTTTTTTTGGAAAGTGGCTATTTATATATCACAAGGTTTCTTGATTACAAAAGCAGTCAACTGGCCAGGTGCAGTGGCTCATGCCTGTAATCCCAGCACTTTGGGAGGCCAAGGCTGGTGGATCATGAGGTCAGGAGATCGAGACCAGCCTGGCCAACATGGTGAAACCCTGTCTCTACTAAAAATACAAAAATTAGCCAGGCATGGTGGTCATCCTTTTTTACGGCTGCATAGTATTCCATGCATATGTGGCACATTTTCTTTAAGGGTGAAGGTTGGGAGGAGGGAAAGGATCAGAAAAAAATAACTTATTGTGTGCAAAGCTTTGTACCTGGGTGATAAAATAATCTGTACAACAAACCCCTATGACATGAGTTTACCTATATAACAAACCCACACATGTACCCCTAGACCTAAATAAAAGTGTTTTTGTTTGTTTGTTTTTTGTTTTTGTTGTGTTTGTATGTTTGTAATCCCAACTACTTGGGAGGCTGAGGCAGGAGAATTGCTTGAACCCGGGAGGTGTAGGTTGCAGTGATCAGAGATCGCTCCAGCCTGGCTGACAGAGTGAGACTCCATCTCCAAAAAAAAAAAAAACACTCGTCTCTCTACCTACCTGCTCTCTTTCCCCATTCCTGTTACATAGATTACTTCTTACCTCCCCAGGTACCCTGGAAGGTCAGAGTCTTCCCTTCTTCCTTCTATTTAAATAAAACAATATGAGAAAACTGCTTGACAAGTGGTTCCAAGCATCAGTGGGGTGAAAAAACAATATTCTTCATGATGTGGGTAACACCAGGAAAAAAAATCAGTGTCTCTTGTCCATAGGTTCTCATCATTTAGCTCTCACTTTTATTTTTAATTAATTAATTTTTTTTGAGACAGAGTCTCACTCTGTCACCCAGGCTGGACTGCAGTGGCAAGATCTCGGCTCACTGTACACTCCACCTCCCGAGTTCAAGTGATTCTCCTGGGTCACTGGGATTACAGGTGTCTGCCAGCACTCCTGGCTAACTTTTGTATTTTCAGTAGAGACAGGACTTCACCATATTGGTCAGGCTGGTCTAGAACTCCTGTCCTCAAATGATCTGCCCTCCTCGGCCTCCCAGAGTGCTGGAATTACAGGCATGAGCCACTGTGCCCAGCTGGTAATGCTCTTTCATGATAGGATCTTTATTTTTAAATTTATTTATTTATTTTGAGACTGAGTCCCACTCTGCCGCCCAGGCTGGAGTACAGTGGCGCGATCTCGGCTCACTGCAACCTTCACCACCCAGGTTCAAGTGAGTCTTCTGCCTCAGTGACCCCCAAGTGTCTAGGATTACAGGCACGCGCCACCAAGCCCAGCTAATTTTTGTATTTTTAGGAGAAATGAGGTTTCATCATGTTGGCCAGGCTGGTCTCAAACTCCTGACCTTAAGTGATCCACCCACCTTGGCCTCCCAATGTGATGGAATTATAAGTGTGAGCCACCACACCCAGCTGGCTCCCACTTTTAAATGAAAACGTGTGGTATTTAGTTTTCTGTTCCTGCATTGGTTTGCTAAGCATACCATAGCTCCAGCTGTGTTCCTGTAAAGGAAATGAGCTCATACTTTTTTATGGCTGCATAGTATTCCATGCATATGTGGCACATTTTCTTTAAGGGTGCAGGTTGGGAGGAGGAAATGGATCAGAAAAAAATAACTTATTGTGTACAAAGTTTGTACCTGGGTGACAAAATAATCTGTACAACAAACCCCTATGACATGAGTTTACCTATATAACAAACCCGCACAGGTACCCCTGGACCTAAAATAAAGTGTTTTTGTTTGTTTGTTTGTTTGTTTTTGTTGTGTTTGTATGTTTGTTTGAGATGGAGTCTCTGCCTTTGTTGCTCAGGCCAGAGTACAGTGGTGCAGTCTTGGCTCACTGCAACCTCCACCTCCCAGAAAAAGAAAGCAAATACGGCAAACAGCATCAGCTTTTTAGAAGAAGCTGGAGCTTCTGGTGGGTGGACCATGATGGAGCTTCTGGTGGGTGGGCGATGCTGGAGCTTCTGGTGGGTGGACGATGCTGAATCTTCTGGTGGGTGGACCATGGTGGAGCTTCTGGTGGGTAAATAATGCTGGAGCTTCTGGTGAGTAGACCATGGTGGAGCTTCTGGTGGGTGGACCATGCTGGGGCTTCTGGTGGGTGAACCATACTGGAGCTTCTGGTAGGTGGGCCATGGTGGAGCTTCTGGTGGGTAGACCATGGTGGAGCTTCTGGTGGATGGACCATGCTGAGCTTCTGGTGGGTGAAGCATGCTGGAGTTTCTGGTAGGTGGACCATAGTGGAGCTTCTGGTGGATAGACCATGGTGGAGCTTCTGGTGGGTGGAGCATGCTGGAGCTTCTGGTGGGGTAAATCATGCTGGAGCTTCTGGTGGGTAAATCATGCTGGAGCTTCTGGTGAGTAGACCACGGTGGAGCTTCTGGTGGATAAATTATGCTGGAGCTTCTCGTGGGTAAATCATGCTGGAGCTTCTGGTGGGTGGACCATGCTGGAGCTTCTCATGGGTAAATTATGCTGGAGCTTCTGGTGGGTGGACCATGCTGGAGCTTCTGGTGAGTGGACCATGCTGGAGCTTCTGGTGGGTGGATCATGCTGGAGCTTCTGGTGGGTGGATCATGCTGGAGCTTCTGGTGGATGGACCATGCTGGAGCTTCTGGTGGGTGGACAATGCTGGAGCTTCTGGTGAGTAGACCATAGTGGGAGCTTCTTGGAGGTAAATTATGCTGGAGCTTCTGATGGGTGGACCATGCTGGAGCTTCTGGTGGGTGGACCATGGTGGAGCTTCTGGTGGGTAAATTATGCTGGAGCTTCTGGTGAGTAAATCATGCTGGAACCTCTGGTGGGTAAATCATGCTGGAGCTTCTGGTGGGTAAATTATGTTGGAGCCTCTGGTGGGTAAATCATGCTGAAGCTTCTGGTGGGTAAATCATGCTAGAGCCTCTGGTGGGTAAATCATGCTGGAGCCTCTGGTGGGTAAATCATGCTGGAGCCTCTGGTGGGTAAATCATGCTGGAGCCTCTGGTGGGTGGGGTATCCACACACCTGTGGGTGCCCATTGATAGTGGGGACTTCACCCCATGTCCCAGAATCCTGCAAGGAGGCCACACGCCCCATACATTCTTTACAGTAAGTTAATACGTCCACAGCACGCTGTGCGTTTCCCCAAAAATGACATTGGCCAATTACACTTTCAAATCACATGCCTTCCTGATGGGCAAAACTGGAAATGTGAACACACTTTAATCCTCAGATAATGTAATGGTTTACATCTGGGGCTCTTCAGGCAGCCCATGGCTGGTTCACGTTGCTCCCTTCCAAGAAATGTTTTGCAGTATGTGTCTTGATTAATAACGATTTAAACATGGAAAATAAATGCTTTCCTCTTAGGCGTCCACCTGTCTATCACCTGGAGTCTGGGAGGATGGCCCTTCTTTTCAACGGCATTCGCCAAGCCAGTCTCCATGAATCACTGACAGAATCCTCTAATGGTTTCCTTTTTTGTTATTGTTGTTTAACACTTAAGCATTGTTGTTGTTTAACACTTAAGCCTTTTTTTTTTTTTTTCCCTGAGACGGAGTCTTGCTCTATCACCCAGGCTGCAGTGCAGTAGTGCGATCTCGGCTCACTGCAACATCCGCCCCCCGGGTTCACACCATTTTCCTGTCTCAGCCTCCCGAGTAGCTGGGACTACAGGCACCCGCCACCATGCCCGGCTAATTTTTTGTATTTTTAGTAGAGATGGAGTTTCACCATGTTAGCCAGGATAGTCTCGATCTCCTGACCTCGTGATCCACCAGCCTCTGCCTCCCAAAGTGCTGGGATGACAGGCATGAGCCACTGTGCCCAGCCTTTTTTTTTTTTTTTTTAGAACAGTCCATTTGTCCCTGGAAAGCTGCATATATATTTGTATATAATAATGTTGGAATTTCATTTATTTATTTATTTATTTTTTGAGACAAAATCTCACTCTTGTCGACCAGGCTGGAGTGCAGTGGTGTGATCTCGGCTCACGGCAACCTCCATCTCCCAGGTTCAAGTGATTCTCCTGCCTCAGCCTCCTGAGTAGCTGGGTTGACAGGCATCTGCAACAACGCCCGGATAATTTTTTTGTATCTTTTTTTCAGTAGAGACGGGGTTTCACCATGTTAGCCAGGATGGTCTTGATCTCCTGACCTCGTGATCCACCTGCCTCGGCCTCCCAACCCAAAGTGCTGGGATTACAGGCATCACCCACCGTGGGGGCCTTTTTTTTTTTTAGAACAGTCCATTTGTCCTTGGAAAGCTGCATATATATTTGTATATAATAATTTGGAATTTCATTTATTTATTTATTTATTTTTTGAGACAAAATCTCTCTCTTGTTGCCCAGGCTGGAGTACAGTGGTGTGATCTCCCGCCTCCCGGGTTCAAGCGATTCTCCTGCCTCGGTCTCCTGAGTAGGAGGTGTGTTACATGGGAATATTGTGTGATGTTCGGGTTTGGGGTACAAGTGATCCCCTCACCCTGATACTGAGCATAGTAACCAGGAGGTTGCCCTGCCCTGCCCTGCCTTGCCTTTCTTTTCTTTTCTTTTTTTTTTCTTTTTTGTTTTCTTTCTTTCTTCTTCTTCTTTTTTGTTTTTTTTTTTTGAGACAGACTCTCACTTTGTTGCCCAGGCTGGAGTTCAGTGGTGGAATCTCAGCTCACTGCAACCTCCGGCTCCCGGGTTCAAGCAATCCTCACCCCTCAGCTTCCCAAGTAGCTGGGATTACAGGTGTGCACCAGCACACCTAGCTAATTTAAAAAAAAAAATTGTAAAGATGACGTCTTGCCATGTTGCCGGTCTCAAGCTCTTGCGCTCAAACCTTCCACCTGCTACAGCCTCTTAAAGTGCTGGGATTACAGGTGTGAGCCACCTCACCCAGCCAAACACGCCAGACACTTTGCATTTGCTCAATAAGGCTTCGTGGCTATTTGAGGTTTTCAACCCTAGCCTCCCTCCCTTCCTCCCTCCCTCCCTCTCTTCTGCTAGTCCCCCAGCTTCTGTTGTTCCCATGTTTATATCCACGTATATCCAACACTTAGCTCCCACTTATAAGTTGAGAACATGCAGGATTTGTTTCTGTGTTCCTGTGATAATGATCTTAGGATAATATTCCCCAGCTGCATCCAGGTTGCCACAAAGGACGTGATTTCTTTCTTCCTTATAGCGTATTCCATGGCAAAGCTACATATTTCAAAGTACTTCAGTGATGTAATTCACACCAATACATCAATAACGAGATAAATAAATAACCTAAGGCATTTTTTTCAGTGTTTGCCGTCGGAGTAATGAGCGCACCCAATCTGATTGTAATTTTTCTCTCCCAGTTTGCTGAGCAGAGAGGCCCAGCTTTTTCCAATGTGACTTGGGGCAAATTCACCTGGCTGGTCAGCTCAAGAGACAGAGATTAAGCCGCACTACAGCCAGGTACTGTTTCCAAGAAACTCAAGACTCCTTCCTCTGGCCCTGTGCACAGAGACAGCTGAGGATAAGACACCACCTTTACTTTAAGGGCACAAGACACGTAGAAATGAACAGGTAGCATTCCGTGGGAAGAAATATCCTCAGGACGTGTGTGTGTGTGTGTATGTGTCTAAGTCTCCTGTGTGTGTATGCGTGTGTGTGTGTGTGTGTCTAAGTCTTGCTCTGTCACCCAGGCTGGAGTGCAGTGGCACGATCTCGGCTCACTGCAACCTCCGCCTCATGGGTTCAAGCGATTCTCCTGCCTCAGCCTCCCGAGGAGCTGGATTGACAGGCACCTGCCACCACACCTGGCTAATTTTTTGTATTTTTTTAATAGAGATGGGGTTTCACCGTGTTAGCCAGGATGGTCTCGATCTCCTGACCTCGTGATCCACCCGCCTCTGCCTCCCAAAGTGCTGGGATGACAGGCGTGAGCCACTGGTGCCTGGCCTATTTATTTATTTTTGAGCCACTGGCGCCTGGCCTATTTATTTATTCTTGAGACAGAGTCTTGCTCTCTCGCCTAGGCTGGAGTTCAGTGGAGCGATCTCGGCTCAGTGCAACCTCCGCCTCCTGGGTTCAAGCGATTCTCCTGCCTCAGCCTCCCAAGTAGCCGGGATTACAGGCGTCCACCACCACACCCGGCTAATTTTTATATTTTTCGTAGAGAAGGGGTTTCACCATGTTGGCCAGGCTGGTCTCGAACTCATGACCTCAGGTGATCTGCCCTCAGGGTACCCTCTGGACTTTTAAATAGCAGAATCCCCCTCAAAGAGCACCAGCCACTGTCTCTATAACTGGCCCACAGGGTCTCTTTGGGATGATTTTAAAACCCAGCAAAACGAAGGGCCGGGCGAGGTAGCTCATGCCTGTAATCCCAGCACTTTGAGAGCCCAAGGCGGGTGGATCATCGGAGGTCAGGAGTTCAAGACCAGCCTGACCAACATGGTGAAACCCCGTCTCTACTAAAAATACAAAAATTAGCCTGGCGTGGTGGTGGGCGCCTGTGACCCCAGCTACTCGGGAGGCTGAGGCAGGAGAATCACTTGAACCTGGGAGGCGAGCCCAGATCGCACCGTTGCAGTCCAGCCTGGTGACAGCAAGGCTTCATCTCAAAAGATAAATAAGTGAAGAAATAAATAAATGTAAAATAAAATAAAATAAAATAAAAAACAGTAAAGGAGTGAAGCTCTGAGACAGGCTACAATGTTTATGAATCTGAAAAGATAGCATTCTGTGAAAAAAAGGCAAGCCCCAAAAAAACCACAGATTGGGCCGGGCGTGGTGGCTCACGCCTGTAATCCCAGCACTTTGGGAGGCCGAGGTGGGCAGATCACTTGAGGTCAGTAGTTCGAGAACAGCCTGGCCAACATGGGGAAACTTCATCTCTATTAAAAATACAAAAATTAGCCTGGCGTGGTGGCTGGTGCCCGTCAACCCAGCTACTTGGGAGGCTGAGGCAGGAGAATCGCTTGAACCCGGGAGGCGGAGGTTGCACTGAGCCAAGATCGTGCCACTGCACTCCAGCCTGGGTGAGAGAGAGCAAGACTCCATCTCAAAAATAAATAAATAGGCCGGGTGCAGTGGCTCACACCTGTAATCCCAGCACTTTGGGAGTCCGAGGTGGGTGTATCACGAGGTCAGGAGATCAAGACCGGCCTGGCCAACATGGTGAAACCCCATCTCTACTAAAAAAACAAATACAAAATATTAGCCGGGCATGGTGGCAGGTGCCTGTCAACCCAGCTACTCAGGAGGCTGAGGCAGGAGAATTGCTTGAACCCAGGAGGCGGAGCTTGCACTGAGCCGAGATCGTGCCACTGCACTCCAGCCTGGGCGAGAAAGTGAGACTCCGTCTCAAAAATGAATAAATAGGCCAGGCATGGTGGCTCACTCCTGTAATCCCAGCACTTTGGGAGGCCGAGGCAGATGGATCACAAGTTCAGGAGATCGAGACCATCCTGGCTAACATGGTGAAACCCCATCTCCACTAAAAAAAAAAATACAAAAAATTAGCTTGGTGTGGTGGCACGTGCCTGTAGTCCCAGCTACTTGGGAGGCTGAGGCAGGAGAATGGCTTGAACCTGGGAGGTGGAGGTTGCAGTGAGCCGAGATCGCGTCACTGCACTACAGCCTGGGCAAGAGAATGAGTCTCTGTCTCAAAAATAAATAAATAACAATAAATAATTAATAAACACAGTGGAGATGCTCCAAACCCGCCAAGACTAGGCTGTTCCTCCTCGGGGAACACGTGGGCAGATGCTGAACCGGGAAGGCCCCAAGACGTTGCAGGGTGAGTAATTTCCGAGCATGCAATTATAAAGAACCGGAGTGCAACAGCTCCCCAAGGCACCCCCGGATTCCCGCAGCGTGCACGTAATTGCAGCCAGACAGTAACCTCGCTGTGGCCTGTGTCCCAGCCCTAACCCTGCACCCCACTTGGCACTCCCACATATGGGACAATTTTCCCAGCTGATTGCTGGAAACTGATGAAGGGAAGTTATGTGGCCTCTTGTGATGGGCGGTCCCACAGCTGCTCTGGTTGGAGAGAGAGAGAGAGACAGAGAGACAGGGGAGGGGGGGGAGAGAGTGAGAGACAGGGAAGAGAGAGAGAGAGAGAGACAGAGAGGGGAGAGAGAGAGAGATGGGGAGAGAGAGGGGAGAGAGAGAGACGGGGAAAGAGAGGGGAGAGAGAGAGAGAAAGAGAGGGGAGGGGGGAGAGAAAGAGACAGAGGGGAGAGGGGGGAGAGAGAGAGACGGGAGAGAGACAGAGGGGGGAGAGAGAGAGACGGGAGAGGGAGGGGAGAGAGAGACGGGAGAGGGAGGGGAGAGAGAGAGACACAGAGACAGAGAGACAGGGGAGAGAGAGACAGGAGAGAGGGAGGAGAGAGACAGAGACAGGGAGAGAGAGAGAGACAGAGAGAGAGAGAGACAGGGGAGAGAGAGAGAGGGGAGAGAGAGACGGGAGAGGGGAGAGAGAGAGACAGAGGAGAGAGAGCGGAGAGAGAGAGACAGGGGAGAGAGAGGGGGGAGAGAGACACAGAGAGAGACAGCTCTCCTGGAAGATATTTTCTCTCTGTTCCAATTCCAGGGCATCTTTTGGAAGAAAAGGGATGACACTGGTGGTTTTGCGGAAGGTCAGTGCCAGAGTTGAGGAAGATGTCATTTTGGCAACTCATTGTCGAGTTCTCCAAAAATCAGGGAGGTGGGGAGCTGGAGTCAGGGAGGGAGGAGAGGAGGAAGCACCAGCCACCCACAGTGGGAAGGATCTCTCCTGTCTTCCTCTCCATCTGCCTCACCGTGACCCCATCCCTTGACTTTGTCTTTGCAGAGGGGCATCCTGCCTTTGTCCACAGCTGTTTCTCTCTTTCTTTTCTTGAGAGACAATCTTGCTCCGTCACCCAGACTGGAGTGCAATGGAGCAATCATAGCTCACTGCAACCTCACGCTGCTGGACTCAAGCCATCCTCCCACATCAGCCTCCCAAGTAGCTGGGACCACAGGAGCTTGCCACCATGCCCTGTTAATTTTTAAACATGTTTTGGAGAGAGGGGGTCTCACTATGTTGCCCAGAGCACCACCATGCCCCATTAATTAAAAAAAAAAATTTGTAGAGATGGGGTCTTGCTATCTTGCCCAGGCTGGTCTCAAACCCAGAGCACCACCATGCACCATTAATTTTAAAAGAATTTGCAGAGATGGGGTCTTGCTATGTTGCCCAGGCTGGTCTCAAACTCCTGGGCTCAAGCAATCCTCTCATCTCAGCCTCCCAAGTGGCTGGGACCACAGAAACACACCACCATGTCCTATTCATTAAGAAAAAAATCGGGGCCGGGCACAGTGGCTCATGCCTGTAATCACAGCAGTTTGGGAGACCGAGGCAGGTGGATCACGGGGTCAGGAGTTCGAGACCATCTTGGCTAACACGGTGGAACCCCGTCTCTCCTAAAAATACAAACAATTAGCCGGGTGTGGTGGTGGACAGCTGTAGTCCCAGCTACTGGGGAGGCTGAGGCAGGAGAATGGCATAAACCCAGAAGGTGGAGCTTGCAGTGAGCTGAGATCACACCACTGCCCTCCAGCCTGGGCGACAGAGCAAGACTCCGTCTCAAAAAAAAGAAAAAAATATTTGGAGAGATGGGGCCTCACTGTATTGCCCAGGCTGGTCTCAAACTCCTGGGCTCCAGTGATCCTTCTACCTTTATTTTATGGAGAGAAATATGCAATTTTTACATAGTGCTTTTGTTTTAAAATGCAGCTTGATCCTCAGACAATGAGAGGCAGGCATTTTACAGAAGAGACATCAGAACTTTCTAGAAGGTGGGTGATTTTTCAGTGAGTATTCAGAGAATAAGTTGCAAAACAGAGGAAATGGCAACTTCTGAGCCTAAATTCAAGGGTTGGCCGAGCACAGTGGCTCACACCTGTCATCCCAACACTTTGGGAGGCCAAGGCGGGCATATCACCTGGGGTCAGGAGTTCGAGACGAGGCTGACCAACACGGTGAAAACCTGTCTCTACTAAAAATACCAAAATTAGCAAGGCATGGTGGTGGGTGCCTGTAGTCACAGCTACTCAGGAGGTTAAGGCATGAGAATCACCTGAACCTGGGAGGCAGAGGTTGCAGTGAGCCGAGATTGTGCCACTGCACTCCAGCCTGGGAGACAGAGTGAGACTCCATCTCCAATACATGCATACATATATACATAAAATTAAGAGTTGTTCAGCCATGTTGTCCCCAGTCCCCAAACTCTTAACTTTTTGTGTTTCATAGAAAGTGCTAGGATTTACAAGGATGCCACTACCCTCGGCAGCCCACTAAGATGAAAGTGAGATGCCACCTGTGATGGTCATTGGAGCACCTTGCCACCCTCCTCAATGGGCACCGGTGAGGAGGGTGACAGGTGCTCGGAGTTCCTGTGGGTTCTGGGATTCCAAGCTGTCACAGCGATAACCCAGGGTCGATGGTTTCCTGAGGAGTTTGGCAAACCTCAGCCCTTGGATTCATTCCTCAACATTCGTGAAGCAAAACAGACTTTTCAAATCATGTTTAAAACAATTAGCGTGTTTACCCAAACAAAGGTTAAGCCTGCAAAGGAAAAGCATCTGTAAATGCGATCAAGCATTGCAGCTTTTACAGTTTTCCATGAATCCTTCAAAGCTCATCTTCTTCTTCTTTTTTTTTTTTTTTTTTTTGAGATGGAGACTCGCTCTGTCGCCCAGGCTGGAGTGCAATGGCATGATCTCAGCTCACTGCAAGCTCCGCCTCCCGGGTTCAACCAGTTCTCCTGCCTCAGCCTCCCGAGTAGCTGAGATTACAGGCACCTGCCACCACCCCCGGCTAATTTTTTGTATCTTTAGTAAAGATGGGGTTTCACCATGTTGCCAGGCTGGTGTTGAACTCCTGACCTCAGACGATCCACCTGCTTCGGCCTCCCAAAGTGCTGGGATTACAGATGTAAGGCACCGGCGCCCAGCCTCAAAGCTCATCTTCTAAGGCATGCAGAAACTCAGTCAGCTCCACAGATCTGAGATCTAAATGAGCAGTGCAACCTTGCTTATGGAGACTCGGGCAGGCAGGGAGAACAGAGTCTTGGCCCAGGCCACCAAGGAGGAGGCAAGATGCCAGATGGAGAAGGGGTTGCCCCAAGCCCCAGGTTGACATGGAAGTTGGGAACAGCCAAGCAGAGAATCTCAGGATCTCCATGGAGGCTAAGAACCTTTCATTGGAGATTCAACTTTTGCAATAAGCAGTGCTGGGTTACATAAGTGCCTAATTAAGACCCTTGGAACTAATTATATAGGACAGAGAGGAGGTGATGGTGAAGACGTGAGATTCTAAGCTGTGATGATACTTACCAAGTGAGAGGATCAAGACCCACCGATGAACTCCTGGTAGTAGAGAGAGGATAGGCAGATAGACAGCTAGCTAGACAGATAGATAGATGACAGATAGATAATTGATACATAGATTATAGATTTAATAGATAAATACACAGAGAATACATTAGATAGATGAATGGATAGATGGATGAATGGATAGACACAGACATAGATAGATAGGTGGTCTTCATGTAAAGACAAGGTGTTTCTTCTGGAAGATTCATCAGGAAGGCGCCATCTTGGAGGCAAAGGAGAGCCCTCATCAGGGCTGTTTATCTATCCACCTACCTATCTATCAATATTTATTGATAGATAGGTAGGTGGATAGATAGATACATAGATGATTGATTGATAGATATAGATGATGAATATATAGATAGATGATAGATGATTGATAGTTGATAGATGATTGATAGATGATTGATAGAAAGATGATAGATGTTAGATACATAGATGATAGATTGATGATAGGTAGATGATAGATGAATATATAGATAAATGATAGATGATTGATATATAGATGATAGATGATTGATAGAAAGATGATAGATGTTAGATATATAGATACATAGATAGATAGTAGATAGATAAATTGATTGATAGATGATAGATAGGTAATAGACAGATAGGAACTCTCCAGTCAGCCTAGACTTAGCTAGTCAAGGTCCCATCTGTAGAGTTTCCAGGTGAACGTCATCTCTATTAGCCATTGAGTCCACGTAAATCATGTATCTGCATCTGCCTGGATTTGTTTTCACTGCTAGAACAGAGTCCCTAAGACTGTGTGGTTTATACAGAGCAGAGATGTATTTACTCCTGGTTCTGAAGGAGGAGAAGTCCAAGATGGAGGCACCAGCAGATTCCATATCTGATGAGGGCTGTTCTTTGACTCCAAGATGGCACATTCCTGCTGAATCTTCCAGAAGGAAGAAACCCCTTGTCCTTAGATGAAGACCAAGGCACCAGAAGATTCCATATCTGATGAGGGCTGTTCTTTGCCTCCAAGATGGCACCTTCCTGATGAATCTTCCAGAAGGAAGAAACACCTTGTCTTTACATGAAGACCAAGGCACCAGCAGATTCCATATCTGATGAGGGCTGTTCTTTGCCCCCACGATGGTGCCTTCCTGATGAATATTCCAGAAGGAAGAAACACCTTGTCCTTACATGAAGACCAAGGCACCAGCAGATTCTATATCTGATGAGTGCTATTCTCTGCCTCCAAGATGGCACCTTCCTGCTAAATCTTCCAGAAGGAAGACACACCTTGTCCTTACATGGTAAAGGTGGAAGACCAAGGGAACTGAATGTTACAGGAAGCCTGTCTCTTACTGTCTTTCTTTCTTTCTTTCTTTCTTTCTTTCTCTCTCTCTCTCTTTCTTTCTTTTTCTTTCTTTCTTTCTCTCTTTTTTTCGAGAAGGAGTCTTGCTCTATCGCCCAGGCTGGAGCACAGCGGTGTGACCTCGGCTCACTGCAACCTCCACCTCACAGGTTGAAACAATTCTTCTGCCTCAGCCTCCTGAGTAGCTGGGATTACAGGTGCCTGCCACCACATCCGGCTAATTTTTGTATTTTTAGCAGAGACGGGGTTTCACCATGTTGGCCAGGCTGATCTTGAACCCCTGACCTCATGATCCACCCACCTCGGCCTCCCAAAATGCTGGGATTACAGGCATGAGCCACCGTGTCCGGCCAGGAAGCCTCTTTCCTAAGGACCTTAAGCCCATTCATGAGAAAGATGCCACCATGGCCTGATCACCCCTTTTTTAATTCACGTTATGTTATGTTATTTTGTTTTTGTTTTTTATTTTTTTGACACAAGGTCTGGCTATATCACCCAGGCTGGAGTGAAGTGGTATCATCTCAGCTTACTACAACCTCTGTCTACTGGGCTCAAACGATCTTCCCACCTCAGCCTCCCAGGTAGCTAGGACTACAGTCATGCACCACCATGCCCAGCTCACTTTTGTACTTTTTATAGAGACAGGGGGTTCATCATGTTGCCCAGGCTGGTCTCAAACTCATGAGCTCAGGCAATCTTACTTCCTCCGACTCCCAAAGTCCTGGGATTACAGGCCTGAGCCACTGTGCTGCCCCTCTTTTTTTTTAGTTTTAATTTAATTTTTATTTATTTTTTATGTATTTATTTATTATTATTATTTTGAGACGAAGTCTTGCTCTGTTGCCCAGGCTTGAGTGCATTGGCATGATCTCGGCTCACTGCAACCTCCACCTCCTGGGTTCAAGCAATTCTCCTGCCTCAGCCTCCCAGTAGCTAGGATTACAGGCACTTGCCACTACGCCCGGCTAATTTTTGTATTTTTAGTAGAGACAGGGTTTCACCACGTTGGTCAGGCTGGTCTTGAACTTCTGAGCTCAGGCAATCTGCCTGCCTCTGCCTCCCAAAGTCCTGGGATTACAGTCCTGAGCCACTGTGCAGCTCCTCTTTTTTTATTTTAATTTTTATTTATTTTTTATGTATGTATTTATTTTTTTTTTGAGACAAAGTCTCACTCTGTTGCCCAGGCTGGAGTGCAGTGGCATGATCTCGGCTCACTGCAACCTCCGCCTCCCAGGTTCAAGCTAGTCTCCTGCCTCAGCCTCCTGAGTAGCTGGGACTACAAGCCCCCACTACCACGCCCGGCTAATTTTTGTATTTTTAGTAGAGACGGGTTTCACCACCTTGGTCAGGCTGGTCTTGAACTTCTGACCTCTGGTGATATGCCCGCCTCAGCCTCCCAAAATGCTGGGATGACAGGTGTGAGTCACCGCACCTGGCCTCTTTGCTTTTCTTAAGTGACTCCATGGGGGACCCATGCAGCCAGCAGCATCTCGGCTTTTTCTCCCTGGAAGATGTCTGCAGGAAACCAGCATCCCAGTTAACTTCAGACGCGAGAGTGTTGATTATACACTCAAGGCCCCACATTAGGGAAGTTTGTGAGTCACAGCCCCACACTGGGTCTCCCAGGGATCAACAAGATCCACAAACCAGCATGGTTAGGACAAGTGGTTTTACAGTCCTTTTTTTTTTTTTTTTTTGTGAGATGGAGTCTTGCTCTGTCGCCCAGGCTGGAGTGCAGTGGCGCGATCTCGGCTCACTGCAACCTCCACCTCCTGGGTTCATGCCATTCTCCTGCCTCAGCCTCCTGAATAGCTGGGACTACAGGCTCCCACGACCACGCCCGCCTAATGTTTTTTTGTATTTTAGTAGAGACAGGGTTTCACTGTGTTAGTCAGGATGGTCTCGATCTCCTGACCTCATGATCTGCCCGCCTCGGCCTCCCAAAGTGCTGGCATTACAGGCGTGAGCCACTGTGTCGCCCTTTTTTTTCCTTCTTTTTAATTCCTTTTTTTGAGACGGAGTCTCACTCTGTCGCCCAGGCTGGAGTGCAGTGGCGCGATCTTGGCTGACTGCAACCTCCGCCTCCCGGGTTCACTCCATTCTCCTGCCTCAGCCTCCTGAGTAGCTGGGACTATAGGTGCCCGCCACCACGCCCGGCTAATTTTTTTTTTTTTTTTGTATTTTAGTAGAGATGCGGTTTCACCGTGTTAGCCAGGATGGTCTCTATCTCCTGACCTTGTGATCCGTCCGCCTCGGCCTCCCAAAGGGCTGGGATTACAGGCATGAGCCACCGCACCCGGCCCCTTACAGTCCTTTTTAACTCACTTCTAGAAGAAACCATCTCAGCCGCTTTTACACATCTGCAGCTGAGACAAGTGTGGGGCACAGGTTTCCCTGGTGACCCAGGGAAGGGATCAAATTGCTGTGTCCACTTTGCAACACCAGCATCTACCAGGTACTGCGAGGCAGAAGCTCAAAACCATGCATGACTTTCCTTGGCTTTTTTTTTTTTTTTAATAAACCTCTGTTCAAAAATAAACTTAACACGTTTTTCTGAGCAGCCTGAACCTGTTCCCAATTTCTTGTCCACACAATAAAAAATATACAAGTGCATTATTTTAAGGGTGACTCTAGCTGACCTTTCTGTGGGGAGAAAAACGGCACCTGCCTGGAGCCAGAAGCGTGTTCGGAGAGTTTGATGGCGTTTGATGTTAAGGCAGGGGCCACCTGGTTCGGCCTGTCATCGAATGACGTTTTCACACCAGTCCCCAAAACAGGAGATCTGGAAAATCTGACATCCAAGGTTTTAGATCTTGGCTTAGAAAAACAGACATTCCAAGATGCCTGAAGTGTTTAAGTGGCTATTGCTAATTGGATAGTGTTGACTGTGGAAGTAATGGATCCCAAATTGAAATGGGAGATTAGATGATTAGACGTATTCTCCAGATGCTTACAAAAACAATTATGTGTGTGCGTGTGTGTGTGGAGAGAGAGAGAGAGAAAGGTATATAGACAGACTGGGCGCGGTGGCTCACGCCACTAATCCCAGCACTTTGGGAGGCTGAGGCGGGCAGATCACCTGAGGTCAGGAGTTTGAGACAAGCCTGGCCAACATGATGAAAACCCGTCTCTACTAAAAATACAAAAATTGGCTGGGCGTGGTGGTCTGTAAAAAATTGACTGGGCCTGTAGTCCCAGCTACTCGGGAGGCTGAGGCAAGAGAATCACTTGAACCCGGGAGGTGGAGGTTGCAGTGAGCTGAGATCGTGCCACTGCATTCCAGCTTGGGTGGCAGAATAATACTGTCTCAAAAAAAGCAAAAAAGGATATATAGATAGACAATAGACATATTCTATTACAGATGGAAAGAAATAAACTAAATAGGTTAAACTAGATAGAAATAGATAACTGTTAGAACGAGATAGATGGTAGGTATATAATTAATAGAAAAGACATAAATTAGGACAATTAAATGATAGACCTAGGTAAATATATAAATGATAGATAGATAACAGATATATTATTAATACATAGGAATAGGTGAGTTAAATTACATAAATGATAGAGATAGGTAGATAAATATATGACAGATATATAGAGAGATAACTGGATAGATGCATAGATGATAGAGAGCTAGATAGGCAGATAGTGGAGGGATGATAGGCAAATAGATACAGGGATAGATGATAGGTAGACAACTGATACATAGATTATAGATTTGATACATAAATATATAGATAAATGGATGGATAATAGAGGATGGATATATAGTAGATGATAAATAGTAGAGAGCTGATAGGTAGATAGATAGACAGCTAGCTAGCTAGGCGGATAGATGATAGGTAGAGGGATAATTGATACATAGATTATAGATTCAATAGATAAATACATATATAGATAGATGGATAGATGGATGGATAATAGATAGATGATGGATATATAGTAGACTATAGATAGTAGAGAGATGGTAGGTGGATAGACAGCTAGCTAGCTAGATGGAGAGATGATAGGTAGATAAGTGATACATAGATTATAGATTCAACAGATAATGCATTAGATAGATAGGTGGATAGATGGCTACAGGGATAGATGATAGGTAGATAGATAATTGATACATAGGTTACAGATTCAATAGATAAGTGCATATATAGATAGATGGATAGATGGATGGATAATAGATAGATGATGGATATATAGTAGACGATAGATACTAGGGAGATGATAGGTAGATAGACAGCTAGCTAGACGGATAGATGATAGGTAGATAATTGATACATAGATTATAGATTCAATAGATAAATAGATAATACATTAGATGGATAGATAGATCAATAGGTAGGTAGGTAGATAGCTACAGGGATAGGTGATAGGTAGATAATTGATACATAGGTTATAGATTCAATACATAAATACATATATAGATAGATGGATAGATTGATGGATGGATGATAGAGGATGGATATATAGTAGATGATAGATAGATAGTAGAGAGATGATAGGTAGATAGATGGCTAGCTAGCCAGACAGATAGATGATAGGTAGATAATTGATACATAGATTATAGATTCAATAGATAAATACATAGATTAGATAATACATTAGATAGATAGGTAGGTAAGTTGATAGATAGCTACTGGGATAGATGATAGGTAGATAGATAATTGATACACAGATTATAGATTCAATAGATAAATACATATATAGATACATGGATAGATGGATGGATGCATAGATGGATGGATGATAGATACATGATGGATATATAGTAGATGATAGTAGAGAGATGATAGGTAGATAGACGGCTAGCTAGCCAAACAGTTAGATGATAAGTAGATAATTGATACATAGATTATAGATTCAATAGAGAAATACATAGATTAGATAATACATTAGATAGGTAGATAGGTAAGTTGATAGCTACAGGGATAGATGATAGGTAGATAATTGATACATACGTTATAGATTCAATAGATAAATACATATATAGATGGATAGATGGATGGATGCATAGATGGATGGATGATAGATGATGGATATATAGTAGATGATAGATAGTAGAGAGATGATAGGTAGATAGACAGCTAGCTAGCCAGACAGATAGATGATAGGTAGATAGTTGATACATAGGTTATAGATTCAATAGATAAATACATAGATAGATAATACATTAGATGGATGGATAGATAGATGTATAGATAGATAGCTGGATAGAGAGATAGCTACAGGGATAGATGATAGGTAGATAGATAATTGATACATAGATTATAGATTCAATAGATAAATACATAGATTACATAATACATTAGATGGATAGATAGGTAGATAGGTAAGTCGATAGATAGCTACAGGGATAGATGATAGGTAGATATACAATTGATACATAGATTATAGATTCAATAGATAAATACATATATAGATGGATAGATGGATGGATGGATGATAGATGATGGATATATAGTAGATGATAGATGATTGATAGATAGATGATAGATGTTAGATAGATTATATATAAATAGATCAATAGGTCGATAGATGATAGATGGGTAATAGATAGACAGAAACTCCCCAGTCTGCCTAAGATATTTTCTGTTATTTTATAAGACATAACCCTCATGAGTTCTTTTGTATCTGCTGCTGCTGTTATTCTGAAAATAGTGTAAAGTTTTGGAGTTTCAGGTACAAGAGGACCCTGCAGATATCAGCCACCTGCTTTTCCCTCCCTTCCTGGGGATGTTCGGTTCTGCCTAACACGCACTCTCTGGTATATCCCTGTGGGTCTCAGAGCCGCCCCCTCCTTGTCTGCAAAGAGGGAGGTGCGGTGCCCACTCCGGGGACCCCCTTCATCCTTGGGGCACTCAGCGTGTGAGTCAGCTTGGCCTTCTCCTTCACAGACAAGTGTCATTGTCACAAGAGAGCGTGGGCCATTCAGAGGACTCTCACCCTCATGAGGCTGGCATTGCGTGTCACCGCGTTGGAGCCAGAGGCAACCTCAAAACGCAGGGGCCCTGCTTCCCTCTTCTCAGAAATGAGGAGAACCTCTGGTAGAGATGACTTTTGGGGGCTCGTGGGGTCGGTGCAGAGGGGGTGTCTGGGTCCGAGCTGGGACCCGGCTCTCAGGAGCCTCTTTACACTTCAGGTTGTCTGTGCCCGAGCAGATCCTGGGCTGTTGAATCATGGTAGGCAAACCACAGAACGATCTTTTGGGGTGAAACCTCAGGCTCTGTTCACTCACTGGCATCGTCAAATCACACCTGCAAAGAGCTGACAAACTATTCCCTAAGCACAGAAATCCTCATGCTTATTTGCGGCCATTCCGAGCCCTGCAGGTGGCTAGGGAGAGAGCCATAAGGTATTTCTTGTGGCGGGGGCGGGGGGCCCTCTCTGGCATTCCCAGGGCTGCCCCCAGGACCTGGAATCAAGCAGGAGAAAGAAGGACATAACCGAGAGAAGGCTTCCTCTCCGTGAGGCCGTGGAGTCCGGCCCTGGCGGAAAATAAACTTCTTAATACGATTGAGATCAACAGACAGGGCTTTTCTCTGTGATACATTTAAGCAAATTGAATGCAATTACCTCAATTGAATTCAGAGCAAGGCCTGCCCTGACCTTCCCTGAAGCGTTCTGCCCACTTGGAGAGCAGGCTGGGGCACACATGACATCATCTGGACAATTTGCACATATTTATACAATTTGTCATGATGCGGTCTGCACAGGCTAGAGGCTGCGAGGTTTGCCTCCAGCACCGCTGTGAAATCAGGCCTGTGAGAATCACGTGCTGGACATATCTCTTGTGTGTGCTATTTACTTCGAATTCAAGTGTACCTAGTCACTAGTGGGGGGAGTGGGGTGGATGTGTCTGTGTGTGTGTGTGGCGGGCAGAAGATGCAAATCCGTTGATACAAATCAACAAGCAATATTATGGTATAAGGGAGGGAAATAAAGCCAGCAGGTGCTATAATACATGTCAAAAAAAAATCTGTTTTATGCTTATGCCACTGTAAGACAACAGACAGCTGTGTAGAGGTGTGGCTTCAGCGACTGCCGAGGAAGGGTTATTTGTGGGTACAGCCATGGGATGTCAGAGGTGTCTCTATTCTGACCTCAGGCACTGAGGTCCTGCCCACGAATGGCGTGGTAGTGTGGGGAATATCCGAAGGAAAACAGAGAGGTGTCTGGATGATCTGTTTTGTTGCAGGAAGCAAACCAGCATGATGCAGGCAGCCTGAACTGAGAAAAGGAGGTTTCCGGATTTCCAAAGACACACTGAGTTCGCTGACATGTATCAGGGAGAAAAGCTCATTCAGAGATCTCCGCTGTATTACAAATTTTAATTTCTCCTGGCGTGGGAGTTCACAGCAGCCTTATGGAGGGAAATTCCTCCAAGCCTGCGTGTCATAAACTGAACTACAGGGTTTAGGGTCCTCAGGCTGCCCAGGGATGCTGGAGGTCCACAGGTCAACTGCAGGGAGATGGATTCCCCAAATGAGCAAGAGGGTTCTGATGCTCAGGAAATAGATTAGTAGCTCCAGGCAGGTGTGGCTTCATGACCGTAAGGAAATGGAAGCAAAGAGTTGTTGGGCATGTAGAACTTTCATTTCTTGCACATTTATTCAGAGACAGAGCATATGCATTTTTGGTAGAAAATTCAATATTGCTGTTGATCTCAAATTCAAGTGTAGCTGGGCACACATGCATACAGCTGTTAACCTTGAATTCAAGCGTACCTGGGCTGCTGTTTACTTTGAATTCAAGTGTATCTGGGCATGCATGCATACTGCTGTTCACCTCGAATTCAAGTGTAGCTGAGCACACATCTGTTCTCCTGTTTATCTCGAATTCAAGTGTTATCTGGGCATGCCTCGTGCTGCTGTTCACCTTGAAATCAAGTGTACCTGAGCACGCATCTGTTCTGCTGTTTATCTCGAATTCAAGTGTATCTGGGCATGCATCGTGCTGATGTTTACCTCGAACTCAAGTGTAGCTGGGCACACATCGTGCTGCCGTTCACCTTGAATTCAAGTGTACCTGAGCATGCATCCATACTGCTGTTTATCTCAAATTCAAGTGTACATGGGCACGCATCTTTTCTGCTGTTTATCTCGAATTCAAGTGTAGCTGGGCACGTATGCATACTGCTGTTCACCTCGAATTCAAGTGTACCTGAGCACGCATCTGTTTTGCTGTTTATCTCCAACTCAAATGTACCTGAGCATGCATCTGTTCTGCTGTTTACCTCGAATTCCACTGTACCTGGGTAGGCATGCCATACTTTTATTGGTTAACTAGAGCAATTTGTAAAGCAAACTATCATCATTTTCCCCAAGTTGTAACCCTTGGCAAATCATTTCCCCGAAGTTTCAACTTTGTTGAAATGGAAGCTAAGAAATTCCACACAATGTATATATTCCTGGTAAAGTTTGCCCAGTACCTGAGCCAACACCTAGGGAGGTAAGAGCAGACAGTGGAGGTTGGGGTACAGACAGATTTGGGTGACCCAGACCAAATCTGATCTTCTAGAACCAACAAATCCCACAGAGACAGGACAAATTGGCCTGTTTGGGGCCAGCATCCTGCGGGATCCCAGACGCTTATGTTATGTGTATTTTAACACAATTTTAAAAATTGGAAAATAAAACAAAACGCCTAGAGCCATGATCTCTAAGGCCATGTGTGTTCTGCACCTATTACTTCTCACTCACTCCATTCCAGCCCCACTGGCCTTTTTCTGGCTCCTCAGACATGCCAAGCACTCCCTGCCTCAGGGCCTTTGCAGTGTCTGTTGCCCTCACGTGGAATGCTCTTCCCACAGATCTCTCTATGACTCTCTCTCTGTCACTTGCTCTGCTCTAATGTCTCTTTTTCAGTGAGGCCTTTCCTGATCACCCTACAGAAAAGCACCCAGCAATATTCTTTATTCCTTTTCCTTGCCTTGTCTTGGTAGCACTTGCTCCTTGCTGACATATAGAAAGAATATGTGTTTATGCAATGGTGAATGTGATGACCACAGATTTTTCCCCAGCCCTGTTCTAGGCAGAGACTGGGAAATGGGTCATTCCTGTCCCCTATTCCAATTCTCTCCTTCTATAATGGCTTATTTTCCTTTTTAATGTTCTAACCTAATGTCGAGCAATTTCAGTTGATTTTTTCATAAGCTGGAAGGTCCATGAAATCTCTTTCTATGGCCATTATTTTCTCAAACACTGCAGTGTCTTTTTTCAGTGTTTTCCATATATAATGATATTCCTAGGAATATCTCCTTGGCCTTCCTATCTAAATTCACCCAATGTGGTGTTCTTCATATTTCAAGTAAATTCAATACTGCCTTCATAATTGTTGGCACCTTTAAACTTTTATTGTCCCTGATAGGTAGGTGCTCATCTTATTGGTTAAATGAATGATTTTGGCAATTTCGCTTTTTAAATTATTTTTATTTTTATTTTGAGACAGGGTCTCAGTCTGTTACCCAGGCTGGAGTGCAGTGACGTGATCTCAGCTCACTGCAGCCTCGACATCCCAGGCTCAAGCAATCTTCCCACCTCAGCCTCCCAAGTAGTTGGGATTACAGACATGTGCCACAGCACTCCACTAATTTTTTTCTATTTTTGTAGAGACAGGATCTTGTTATGTTTCCCAGGCTGGTCTGTAACTCATACACTCAAGTAATCAGCCCATCTGGGTCTCCCAAAGTGCTGGGATTACAGGCTTCAGCCACAATGCCCAGCCTAAAATGTCTTTTTGATAGAGTGATTTTGAAGATTAAGCAGGCTAGTGGGTCAAGCACGTAGTACAACATTTGAAGCCCAAAGGCAGGGAGTGTGAGCCCCAGGTGGTGGTGGGGGGGATGAAAGGAGAAGCAGGAGGCAATGGGGAATGAGACACTTGAGACTGGAACTCAGGGCTCTTCAGGGAGAGAAGCTTCCAGGTCCTGGAGAAGGGGCAAGGCCCATGCGAGTCCCCTGAACGCTCAAAAGGAAGGGCCAGGTTTCCCTGACACAGAGGGCTCCGTGGTCTCCTCCCCTCCTTTTCACCTCAGGAGGGAGGGAAAGAGGGGAAGAGAAGGTCCTGCAGAGGAGGCAGGATGGCCGGTTGAGGGGGGCCTTGGGCGCTTTTTCCCAAGGGCTGCCTCCTGCGGCTGCCCCAGGGGCTTCCTTGAACAAGAATTCCCTGCTCTCCCGCTGAGAGCCAGGGTGGGTCCTCTGTCCCTCACCATGAAGTTCAATGAGTATTGGAGAGTCCGCATGAGGTGAAGGGGCTTCAGCCCAACCACTGGTCCCTGCTGCACTCACTCCTCAAAAAGGACCACCAGCTGCCTGATGGTGAGCATGGAGCAGGTCTGAGTGGACCAGACTAGGGCCAAGAAACACACCAAAATTGAAACACAAAGAAATACAAAACATGAACAGACCAATAACAAATAATGAGAACAAAGCTGTAATAAAAAGTCTCCCAGAAAAGAAAAGCCCCAATATTCTATGGCTTCACTACTGAATTCTAACAAATATTTAAAGAACTAACACCAATCCTACTGAAACTATTCCACAAAATACAGATGGGGAATACTTCCAAACTCATTCTATAACACCAGAATTACCTTTATACCAAAATCAAAGACACTTTAAAAAAAGAAAACTACAATATCTCCAATTAATATTGATGCAAAAATCCTCAACAAAATGCTAGCAAACCTTTAAGCAATACATTAAAAATATCATTCTTCATGATC
>NC_000022.11:10924572-10966724 GCF_000001405.40 Homo sapiens | reverse complement strand
GATCACACCTCTAGTCAAATTTTATTTTAGTTCATTGACTATAGATTAATATCCTGAAATACTAAAAAATTCTGTCCTAATTCTGTGAATAATTCACTTATTAATCACCCTATACACTACTTAATGGATGGAATGGTGCTTGGAATAAAGATAATTACAGGGCTAAAAGGGTTTTCTCTAGAGGCAGGTTATAGGATGTTGTTGTCTGACTGGAATAAAACAAAATTAATCAATATTTTCTGCAACCGGTGGCTTTTGACTTAGTCGTCTATTAATATCTATCAATCACTGTAACCTCAGTACTATTTCCTCCATTCTTCTTTTTGCTATCATAAAAACTTGTCCACTTTTTTCCTGTTAGATCTATATGTTTCTCCTCTTTTCTTTTCATCCAAACAACTGGACATCAACTTAGTACAGATAGTGCAATTGATCTGAACCCTACAGAACTCACTGTTCCCATTTACGTAACTTACATAACTGTCAAGCTGAAATCATTCTCAAATTTTTTTTTAATTCAAAATTTTAATTTCATTTAATCATATTTATTTATTCATTAGTTAATTTATTTTGAAGATAATTTTAACTTGTATTTTACATTCAGGGGTACATGTGCCAGTTTGTTACATGGGTATATCTCATAATGCTGAGTTTTGGGGTATGAATGATTCCATCATCCAGATGCTGATTTGGTATGTTTTGACTCTGTGTCCCCACCCAAATCTCATGTTGAATTGTAATTCCCAATGCAGCGGAAATGACCTGGTGGGAGGTGATTATCTCATGAGGGCAGATTTTCCCCTTGCTGTTCTTAGACAGTAAGTGAGTTCTCATGAGATCTGATGGTTTAAACATATGGCACATCCCCCCTGGCTCACTTGGTCTCCTGCTGCCATGGTAGAACGTGCCTTGCTTCCCCCTTCACCTTCTGCCATGATTATAAGTTTCCTGAAGCCTCCCAGCCATGCTTCCTGTACAGCCTGTGGAACTGTGAGTCAGTTAAACCTCTTTTCTTTATAAATTACCCAGTCTCAGGTAGTTCTATACAACAGTGTGAGAACAGATTAATACATGAGCATAGTATCCAATAGTTAGTTCATCAAACCATGCCTTCCTCCTTCTCCCCTCTAGTAGTCCCAATGTTTATTCTTTCCATTTTTATGTCCATAAGTACCCAATGTTTAGCTCCCACTTATAAGTGAGATCATGTGGTATTTCGATTTGTATTCCTGCATTAATTTACTTAGGATAATGGCCTTCAGCTACATCCATGTTGCTTCAAAGGACATGATTTTGTTATTTTTATGGCTGCATAGTATTCCATGGTGTGTGAAATGGTTTGGAAGGTGGCCCCTATAAATCTCATGGTGAAATGTAATCCTCAGTGTTGGAGGTGGGGCCTGGTAGGAGGTGTTTGGGTCATGGGGGTGGATCTCTCATGGCCTGATACCGTCCTTGTGATAGCGAATTCTTTCAAGATCTGGTTGTGTAAGGGTGTGTGGTACTTAACCCCACTCCCATTCTCTCTTGCTCCTGCTCTGGCCATGTGATGGGCCTACTCCCTCTTTGCCTTCCATCATGAGTAAAAGCTCCCTGGAGACTCCACAAGCACCATGCAGATGCCGTCACCATGCTTCCTGTACAGCCTGCAGAGCTGTGAGCCAATTAAATCTCTTTTCCTTATAAATTACCCAGTCTCAGGTATTTCTTCATAGCAATGCAAGAATGGCCTAATAATACTGTGTGGATGTACCACATTTTATTGATCCAATCCACTGTTGATGGGCACCTAGGCTGACTCCATGTCTTTGCTATTCTGAATAGTGCTGCGATGAACATGCAAGTGCATATGTCTTTTTGGTAGAATAACTGACTTTCTTTGGGTCATATACCAGTAATGGAATTGTTGGCTTGAAAGGTAATTCTATTTTAAATTCTTTGTGAAATTTCCAAACAGCTTTCAACAGTGGCTGAACTAATTTACATTCACACCAATTATGTATTAATGTTCCCTTTTCTCCACAGCGTCCCAAGATCTGTTGTTTTTTGATTTTTTAATAGTAGCTATTCTGACTGGTGTAGGATAGTGTCTTGTTTTGGTTTTGATTTGCATTTCTCTCATGATTAGTGATGTTAAGCCTAATCTTTGCCACCAGAAAACTGGGAAAATACAGTGTCGCTTGTCAAAATAAATTGTTTTACTTTGCTTTAAAAATAATCAATTGAGTAGTATATTTCTTCCAGCAAAATTAAGAAGTAAACATTTAGAAATGTACAGTACCTTGCTGTTAAGTCTTCACACAAGTATACCAATCCAACATAAAGGCCATCTTAAACTTTCATGTGAAATGAAAGACAATTTTTAAGAGGTTAAGGGCTAGTAATTTGTTAAAGTCCTGAAGTTAAATTAGCTCAAGTAAATACAAAGACTTTCCTTTAATTAAAGCCTTTTAAATGAACACTTTAAAGCATAGTTGGTTTCTCCCTCAAATCTTGTCCAAAGCCACTGTTAACAACTCAGTATATCAAAGAAGGTTTCAGACATGATTATGAACCTCCCTCAACTTACAATGTGCTATTTGCAACCTTAGATGGCTATCATTCTGGCTTTTATACCTTTTAGCAACAATAAGCACACCCTTCCCATTTCTCCCCTACCCTGACTTACCCCTCTTTGCATTTAATATATAATTTTTTGCAGAGTGTTCTTACACATCTTTAACGTAAATATGACAAAAGCACACCATATAGTACACGTGCCACACGTATAAATGTTGTATCTAGTCATACAATTTTCCTTTTAAAGAAGGAATATTTTATTTTCAAAAAGCAAAGACTCTAGGAATCTTTTCTAGCTGCCAGTCATAAAAACATAAATTCCTGGTTAGATTCCAAAATTTGCCTGACCATAAGAACCACTTGTGGTACTTGTCAAACACATGTATTCTGAGTCCCATCCGTGATCTTCTGAATCAGAATCAGCAGGTGAGAGGCCTGGGAATACACATTTTAAACAAACGTCCACAGTGATTACGATTAGTCAAGCTTGAAAAAAATGTCACTAGGATCTTTATGACTGAATAACCTCACAAACATAGGAAAGTTACTGGAGAAAAATATGAGCAGAATTTCAGAATTCTGCCCTTGCTGAAAGTGTTTGTTCCCTCCTCCTCTACTCATCAAGACCTGACTGTTTATGTAACTCCCCCAAACCATCAACACCTGGGAGGAGTTGAAAATGATTTTAATGAGGAAGAAAAGCTGATGTTTAATTTCAAAACTGACTGTGACAATAGAAGGGAGAGACATGAATTTATCTTGATTCTAACACAAAGCATTGTATTTGAGTCTACAAATGAAATTGGTTTCATTTTTATTTTTTGTAAGTTTTTGCCAAACTCTATGCATATATAGAGGCTGGGCAAGAAAGAAAGAAATACAGAAATATGGCATATGCCATCCCTTATTTATTTCCCCATGCGACCAGCCAACAGCTTCTTCACCTAGTCCCTGCTTCAAGCTGACTTTCTGTCTACTTCTCTATTGGAAATGGAGCTTCCCTAAAGACTGCCTCAATGTCAGTTACCCACCGGCATTTTTTCCATCTTGTGCTCCTAAACTTCTATGATATTAAATGATATTACCCTTTCTAGAAATTCTCCTTAGCTTTGATTTTATAATTTTACTCTAACTCTGTTTCATTCCTTCTTTTATAGCCTTTCTTTTCTCTATCCCTTTACTGCAGACATGTTGTACAGCTTTGTTCTTGACCTTCTGATCTCTCCATATTCATTCCCTCAGAGCATGTATCCATTTTCTTGGTGTCGGCCTTCCTATCTGATTATTACCATCATATAACGATGTTGGTGATGAGCATAGCTAACATATCCTAGGCATTTTCCATGGGTTATCATAAGCACCCTATATAATTCATACCATTTAATTCTTCAACCCTAAATGATACGATTACTAACCACATTGTATGAGATGAGGAAAGTGAGATTTTCATCAAAACCGCGGAAAGCAAACGTGAGGAGCCCCTGTGTGTCTCCCTTGTTAATGCCTCTGGACATCATGGCATGTGGATTGCCCTGGAATGGGGATTAGGAAGTGCAGCACTGTGAAAACACCAGAAAATACGTTATGGTAGCGGGTAAGGCCGCTCATCTCTCCACATTGAGATGGTTTTCTTTCTGAGTCAGGTTTGAGATGAGCCAATCCTGACTCCATGGTACCACCAGGGATCACGAATTTAATAAAATCTTCGTGGATGCTTGGAACCCAACTGGTCTCTGTTTTCTACTTTAGGGAAAGAGCCACAGCTTGAGCGGAGTGGGGTGGTTTTGGTGTCACATACGCGATCAATAATATCCACCGTTTTGGTGTCACATACGCGATTAATAATACCCACCGCTGCAGAGGAATCACCGTGGACTACTCCTCGTTTCATCCCATGCTCTTGCGATGGATCCCTCTCACCTGTTTACTGATTTCATTCAAATTCTTCAGCGAAAACAGGACCCCGACTTGCCTTCTCTATCCTGGTTCCCATCACTCTGCTTTACAGGCCTGGCCTGCTCACGGCTCCTCACACCAGCGCTGCATGGCTCCCTCCACACCTCCGCCCTGTTTCCTCCATCAGACAGGACTAGCTTCCTCCATCTCTATCGGGCAAAAGCCTGCCCAGCGTTCAAGACCCTCCACAGATGCCGCCTCCACGATTAGCCTTCTTCCTGACCCCTGAGCCTGTAACACGCGCCACCATAACTCTCCACCTCAGCCCACATTCCCACAGGACTCATGACGTCCGCGGCCCTCAACATGGTGCTTCATTCTATTTTAGGGTATTTCCTGCTTGTTTCCTACACACACAGTCACACGAGGCACAGCCCCGAGTGACCCGCGCACGAGTGGCCCGCGCTTCCAGCCGCGCCGCCGCAGGCCAACGAGGGCAGCCTAAGTCGCTTCCCGCCCCCGCGGGGACCGTCGCCAGCCCGCAGCTCTAGCGGGAGGCCGTTTCACAGCGCGACCGGCAGCCCCGCCACCGCCAGCACCGGCGCCTCGGGCGGGCTTTACTCCCGTCAGGGAGGCGTGAATCCTTGGGGGCTCCTCGAGAGGGAGCCAGGGAGCAGCTGCGTGAGGCACCTTTCAGCCCTCTGCGGCCGCCATAGCTCCCCAGCAGAAACTCGGAAGTGGAAATCTCAGCCATTCAGCGTTTGGGTCAAGACAAAGGCAGGTTCTGGACAGAAGTACGCTGTCAGGGAGTGTTTACTTTGCCTCCACTTCTGATCCTCCCCGCCCTGGTGCTGCTCCGGGTCACATACTCGTCCTGAGCCGGCTTCAGCCTCTCCGCGCAGAAGTCTCCCGGAGCCGACTTCTGCGAGTCGAGTACTCTCATGTGAAGTCTACCAAGCTCGTGTTCAAGGGAACCAAGGCGAAGAGGTGGGTCCTGCAGCTGTGGCGGGAGCCTCCTCAGTTCTTTTTGGACGCACTCCACCCTCGCGAATCCGGTGGAAGTCGTGGCGCAGAGAGCTGGCTTTGTGGCATCCCAGGCTTCGCCCTGGCCCCTGTCAGGGCTGGATGGAGGCCGGACCGCGGTTCCTGGCGCCTGTGCAGAGAGGGGCAGTCTCCCGCGCGGATGACCCTGGAAACAGGATAGACGGGCGGGTGACCCGTGGCCCCGTATCCACGAGTTTGGGTCCCCTGAGGCATCTCTCCAGGCCTCTGCCTGGTGGGTCTGCGTTAGTCTGATCTTGTAGTTCATGATGATAACTTCCTTTATTAGGGATTATTCTTTTCTCCATTGTCTCTTCCTGGAAAAGTTATTGATTAATTTTTTGTAAGCTAATATGTAGAGTGAAACCAGGATGAATCACACAGTGGTTGAGGTGTATATGGGCTTTGATAGGGATATGGGCTGGAACCTGCACTCTGTCATTTACTAATTTTGTAATTTGTGGCAAATTGGTTAATATGTCTGAACTTCCATTTACTCATTAAGAGATCAAATATCTTTGAACCTCCGTTTACACATTTATACTTTCAGACCATTTTTATACCTTTAGAAGACTGTGAGGATTAAATGAAAGAACATATATGCAGTAAATAAATTGAGCCAAATGTGAGGAGGAGGTCGTAGTGGTAATTTATTAGCTCTTTAGGAGAAAAATACCTGTGCACTCATATCCCCGCTTCTTTTTTAACTGGCAGATTTGCCCGAGGTTGACTGTACATATAAATATTGAGCATTTCCTCCTGGTCTCCGTGATAAACAGAGGTTTTGATATTTTTAGGCGAGATGGAAAGAAAGTATCAAGGAGTGAGCTGAAGCCACTGCCTTTGAGAACCCTCTCGAGGAGTCTGGCCTCATGAAGATGCCAGAATAAGTGGCAGGTATATCCTGAATGAATGTGAGATTTTTACTCTGTGAATTTCCTGTGAGAAGTGGTGAGTTATCTTCTGAAAACTTTATGATGATTATGCAGACAAGAGTGTCTTAAGATTATCGTAATAATCATAATTAATGCTTGTATAGCACTTTCAGTGTGCCAAGAAATAGTTGTAGGCACTTTGCACATTAACTTTTTTCAAATCGCTCTTGGTTTTTTATTTTGTTATTACGATGTAATTCATAATTATAAAATTCACCCTTTTGTACAGTGGTTTTTAGTATATATTCAAGAGGTTCACCACTGTCTAGTTTCTCAGTGTTTTCATCATCTCAGAAGGAAATCTCTTCCTACCCATTAAAGCAGTCACATCCCATCCTCCCCCTCTCCTAGTCCTTGGCAACCACTAGTCTGCTATCTATGTGAAATTGCCTATTCTGAATATTTCCTAAGAAATCATGCAACATGTGGCCTTTTGTATCTGGCTTCTTTCACTTATAACATTCTTGAGGTCCATCATTGTTGTAGCACTTGTTCCTTTTTATGGCTGCGTAGTAGTCCATTGTATGGATGTAACATTTTGTTCATCCATTCATCAGTTGATGAACATTTAGGTTGTTTCCCCTTTTTGACTATTGTGACTAATGTTAGTGTGAATAGTCTTATGTAAGTATTTTTGTGGGTGTATGTTTTCATTTCCCTTGGGTATACATACTTAGGAGTAAAATTGCTGGGTCATGTGGTAACTCTTTAACTTTTTGAGGAACGTCAAACCATTTCCTGTAGATGCTGCACCATTTTACATTTCCACCAGCAATGTGTGAAGATACATATTACCTCTTAATCCTCACAATAGCCTTAAGAGTTAAATTATTAGCCTAACTTTTTAAGTGGGGAAACTGACTCACAGAGAGATTCAGTACCTTTTCCAAAAATTGCAGAGCTAAGAAGTGACAGAATCAGGATTTAAAATCTTGAAGTGTGGCTCTACAATCTGCTTTGAACTTTAACATAATATGTACAAAGCCTGAAGCAAATTCTCAGCACTGTATTTAAGAGAGCATAGCAATGTAAGTCTTCCTAAATCAATAATTTATAAATGAAACAGCTTAAAAGACTTCCAAGTTTCAATCTTACGATATTTATTTATCACACAAATCAATATACCTAAACTCATCTATATACATTATGTCCTGTAGTAAGAAGAAAAAGAAAAAAGATAAGAAGAGAAAAAGAGAAGAAGATGAAGAAACCCAGCTTGATATGTTGGTGAGTCAGTTTTCAGTGCTTTATTCTGAAAAAAGTTAACATTTCTTGAGATCTCATTGAAAATATTTTCCTAGTTAGAAATTTATGATGTATTCATATTTGTCTTAAAGTGCTTAAATATTACCTACAGTTGTAAATTCCATTTATTCTTTAGCACAGTAGATGCTACTGATGCCTTTACTTCATTATCAGAACACAGCACAGGAGAGAAGAATTACAACTCTGACTTAGTAGGCACCATTAGACTGCTTAATAGCCGGAGATTCTGATACATAATTTTAAAGGCTTAATGTAGATGTTATTCAACCAAATATATTTTACAAGTTATTTTCTTTGAACATGTATACATTTTAGTTGTAGAAGTCAGTTGTCTCTTAAACGAAGTATCTTCACAGGAAAAATTATTATTTTGTGAACTCTGAAACGAATGAAAATTTTAAATACAATATCAGGGTAGCCTGTAAATGATACTGGAAATAAATTGACCCAAACACACTTAACCAGCCTGTTTTCCGTTTAGCTGTTTCCATACTTTTTTTTTCTCTTTTAAAACTTGGTAAGTTGCATTTTGAATCTTCATAAATTATGGTAGCTTAAAAAATATATAAAATATGGAATGGTATAAAGCTAATATTCTGGAAGAATCATTGTTTTTGAAATGGCAAATCAACAATTCTAAAATTAGGGTAAATATCTAGGGTAGATATGTAGATGTGGAATTGCTGTGTCAAAGGATAGGTGAATGTTTAACTATATAAGAAACTGCCAAAAATTTTCTAAAGTGGTTGTGATATTTTGCCCTCTCACCAAGAATGAATTAGTTCTCCAGTTACATCCTTGCCAAGAGTTGATGGCGTTATCAGTCTTTTCTCCCAGTCTGAGTTTTTCCCAGTCTGAGTTTCTTAATGGTGGTTTTCGGATGGACACCTTTTTTTTTTTTTTTTTTTTTTGAGATGAAGTCTCGCTCTGTCACCTAGGCTGGAGGGCAGTGGCGCGATCTCGGTTCACTGCAAGCTCCACCTCCCAGGTTCACGCCATTCTCCTGCCTCAGCCTCCCAAGTGGCTGGGACTACAGGCACCTGCCACAACGCCCAGCTAATTTTTTGTGTTTTTAGTAGTGACAGGGTTTCACCATGTTAGCCAGGATGGTCAGAAGCTTTTAATTTTTATAAATCTTAGTTTATTTTTTCTTTTATGGTTACTGCCTTATCTCTTTGATCTAAGAGATCTTTGCTTACCCCAAAGTCAGGAAAATATTCTACATTGTCTTTTAGAGACATCATAGTTTTAGTTTTTACATTAAATCTGTCATTAATCTCAAATTAATTTTTGGCATGGTGTGAGTTTGGTTTCAAGATTTACTTTTTTTTTTTTTAACATCTTGATAGCCATTTGTGCCAGCACCACTGGTGTTTCCTTTTTCCATTAATCCAGTTTCATATCTTCATAAAAAATCAATTAACTTTCTATGTATTGGTCTATTTCTGGACTCTGTTCTATCGATTGTCTGTTTTTCTTTTGGTATATTTCTCTTGATTGCTATAATTTCATGAAGTCTTGAGATAAGGTAGTGTGTGTCCACCAACTTTGTACTTACTATTAGTTTATTAATTTCTACAGTGAAGCCTGTTGGATTTTCTCAGAGAATAGTATCGAGTCCAGATAATTTAGGGGAGAATCAACATCTTAATATTGGGCCTCAATATTTCATAATTTTCAATGTAGCAGTCTTGCATGCCTGTTTAAAATTTTATTCTTAAGTATTTTATAATTTTACACTACTGTCAGTAGAACTTTTGAATTTGATTTTCCAGTTGTTTGCTGTCAGTATGTAGATATACAATTGATTTTTGTGTAGTGACTTTGTAGTCTGATAAGTCTGTTTCACTTCTTACTTCTAAAGATTTGTTTATATAGAAAACTAAGAAATTTGCAATTATGTTTCCTGTGACTATTGTTTTACTTCTTTCTTCCTAATCCTTATGTCTTGTCTTGCTTTTTATTGGTTTATTATACTGTTCAGGACTTCCATAGTGTTGAACAGAAGTCACGAGAATGGGCATAATTGCATTGTTTCCAAGCTTAGGCAGAAAACTTTTAGTAGTCCACCATATGGTATGATGTCTGTAGGATCTGCAGAGAAAAACTTTATCAAAATGAGGACATTCCTTTTAAACTTTGTTTCTTGGGAGTTTTTATCATAACGATGTTTAATGCTGTCCAGTGCCTCTTTCTTTATCTGTTGAGATGATTATACAACTTTCTTCATTCTGCCATTGAATAACATTGGTTTCATTTTCAACTTTTAAACTAACTTTACATCCCTGAGATAAACCCCACTTGGTTGTGGTGCGTTGTCTTTTGGGATATTGCTAGATTTGATTTCTAGGTGTTCGTTTTTCTTCTTTATAAGATTTCTATATTGGTGTTGATGGGAGATATTGGACTTTTGTATCCTTTTCTTGTAATGGCTTTATTTGATTTTGGTGTCAAGGTGATATTGGGTGTCATAAAATTAGATGGGAAGTGCTGTCTCCTTCCCTGTTTTTGGAAATAGCTGTGTAAGATCGGTATGATTTCTTCTTTACATGTTTGATAGGATTTACCAGTGAAGTCATCTGTACTTAGAGGGTTTTGTTTGGTTTGGTTTTAGTTTTTTGTGGGAAAATCAAGATTTTTTAAGAGATATTTTCAGATTTTTCTGTTGTCAATTTTGGTAATTTGTGTCTTTTAGGAAAATTTCATTTCATCCAAGTTGTTGGATTTATTGGCATAAAATTGTTCAGAATATTCCTTTAATATCCTTTTAATGTCTGTAGAATCTAATCTGTATTGCAGTCTCTTCATATTGGTAATTTTTGTTTTTTCCATTTTTTCCTGGATCAGTCAGTCTAGCTGGAGGTTTATCAATTCTTTATAAGATCATTTATTTTAGATCATTAATGATCTTTTAGTACAGGGGTATTCAATCTTTTAGCTTCCTTGGGCCACAATGGAAGGAGAATTGTCTTGGGCCACACATAGAATACACTAACAATAAGCTGAAGAGCCAAAAAAAAAAAAAAAAAAAGCAAAAAAGTCTCATAATATGTCAAGAAAGTTTATGAATTTGTGTTGGGCTGCATTCAAAGCTGGCTTGGGCCACATGCAGCCCTCAGGTTGGACAAGCTTGTTTCAACATTACTTATTTTCTCTTTTTTTCATTTTTTATTTCATTTATTTTCATTCTTTTTTTTTTCCTCCCTTTAACTTATTTTCAGTTTACTTTGCTCTTGTTTTATTGCTTCTTAAAAAAGGAGTTAGATCTCCTCATTCCATGTTAGTTTTAGTTATAGTCAACACATTTTGTTTTCATTTTAATTCCATTCAAAATATCGTCTAGTTTTCCTTGTGATTTTTCTTTTCATGGACACTTGAGTTATTTAAAAGTGTACTGTTTTTAATTTCTACTACATAGAGATATTATAGGTATGATATTGTTGCTGATTTCTAATTCATTTATAGTATAGTTGGAGAACATACTTTCTTAGTGAATTTCCATGTACACTAGAAAAGGATGTGTATTCTGCAGATGTTGGTTCAGGGTTTTTTTTTTTTTTTTTTTTTTTTGAGATGAAGTCTCGCTCTGTTGCCCAGCAGGCTGGAGTGCAGTGGTGCGATCTTGGCTCACTGCAGCCTCCGCCTCCCAGGTTCAAGTGATTCTCCTGGCTCAGCCTCCGGAGGAGCTGGAATTACAGGCACCTGCCACCATGCCTGGCTAATTTTTTTTATATTTTTAATAGAGGCAGGATTTCACCACGTTGGCCAAGCTGGTCTCAAACTCCTGACCTCAGGGGATTCGCCCGCCTCGGCCTCCCAAAGTGCTGGGATTACGGGCATGAGCTGTGGCGCCCGGTAGTTCAGTGTTTTTTAGATGTCAGTTATATCAACTGGTGGAGCTTGTGACTATGCACATCTTCTGTGTCCTTACTGATTTTTCACTCATCCTACAATGTATTGAGAGTTATGTTAAAATCTCCAGCTGTAATTCTAGATCTGTCTACTTGAGCAGTTTTTGCTTAAAGTATTTTGAAGCTGTCATGTGTACACATTTAGGATTGTTAAGTCTTCCTTATAAATTCAGTCTTTCATTTTCATAACATTTTAACCTTTATTTCTGTTAAATGTCTTGATGCCTAGTTAAATTATTTGACCACCCTTTTGCTCCTGTCAAGCCTGGGCCTTTGTTAGTTTGTGCTTATTTATTAGGTTTTTGCCTGTAGACTTAGACAGTGACTCTTACTCTAGGAAAGTTTCATCCTCATGGGCCTCAGCCACATGTTCTAGGTATATTTGGTGAGTTCTCTCCACTCTGCTATGTCCCAAATTTGTGTGATCTCTGGCATCTCCAGTCAGCCCTCAGAAGTGCCAGCCACTCTGCATGGGCCTTGTGGAGCCTGCCTACTGTATGCACTCCCCCCAGCCCTTGGCCCCAGACCTGCAGAGAACTTTTGCATACTCTTTTGAGGCCTCACCTGTATGTTGTTCCCTCTTCTCCAGTACCTTATTCTATAAACTCCAAACATGTTAGCACTGCAAGACTCTCAGCTTAGTGACAGTGACATTGCCTCATTTTTGGAGGTCTCTACCTCTCTCTGCATGGTCAAGAAACTGCCATTGGGCAGAAAACAGAAGTGTGTGTTAGATTTGCCTCCTGTGTTTTCCTGTTCTCAAATATCACAGTCCTGTTCTGCCTGTGTTTCAATCCCCAAAAACAGTTCTCTCAAATATTCTATCCAGTTTCAGTTTTCTCATTGGTCATGATGGGAGGGCAAGTCCATCTTGGCTGGAAGAGGAAGTCCTTCTGCGTCTTTTTCTCTTTGTCCTTCCACCGTCTTTTGCATTGTGGATTTTCTAAACTCGCCGTAAAAATAAGCATGTTCCTATTTGTGAAGAGAAAGAAAAAAACCTTTTAATTTTTTAAAGCTGTTCTGTTGGTTCCTCACAAGGATCTGAAGGGATTGGTAAATAGGATGAAAGAAATTCTGTCTTTCACATGGAGAGTACCATGTGTGACATTAATAAAAATGAGCATGTCTGTAAGCAAATAGTTTCACTGAGCTCTGCTAGATTCAGAAGCAACTGACTTACAACATCGTAGTATGCAAAACACAGATTTGATTTACCCAGGAACTAAAGCCAAGTAAGCTATGGGTTAATAGAAGGTCTGTGAAGGGTACTCAGACTACAGTAAGATTTGGGAATAAAATTCCATTTCCAAATCTAAGATATATCATTCCTTTGTGCCAAGCACATAATGAAGGTAGAGATTTAAGGGGGCCCTTAGCACAGAAGCACTGCGTTAGTCAGAAGGTAAGGTGAGCTGTCTCACAGCCTTGATACTAGAATGAGGGTGCCCTGGGAGTATCTTATCAGCCATGACACTGGTGCATCGGGCCATTTTTTTTTTTTTTGAGACAGGCTCTTGTTTTGTTGCTCAGGCTGGAGTGCAGTGACATGATCATGGCTCAGTGCACCCTCGACCTTGTAGGCTCAAGCAATCCTCTCACCTCGGACTCCTGAGTAGCTGGGACCACAGGCTTGTACCACCATACCCAGCTAATTTCTTAATTTTTTTGTAGAGCTGGGGGTCTCCTTTTGTTGCCTAGGCTGATTTTGAACTCCTGGGTTTAAGTGATTCTTCTGCTTCCACCTCTCAAAGTGCTGGATTACAGGCATGCCAGACATATGGAAACATTCTCAACTATGTGAAAATATGTGAAAAGCTTTGTTATGCATTGTGAGACAACACAGCGGGAATATTTCACCATCTGCCTAAGGTTTAAAAGGAAACAACTTTAAGCATGTGTCTAAATAGCAAGTAATGTTTTAGAGCGGATTCTCTTAAATTCAGCTTGGGCATCTGCAGCATATATACACGGCTTGAGCTGTAACCTGACGTAGAGACAGGCAACTTCAGTGCCCACTGTTCTTAGGATCCACTGCTTTTTCACAGCTAAAACCCCCGAGTGGCACCGTTAAGTATTATGTTATGTTACTTTAGTCGTTAAACATATAAGCATACCTCCAAACGTTGAATGTAGGCCACTTGCATAAAGTAAGCAGAATGCTCACATTTAATTCTTGATGATACTGTGTTTAGCTTTCTTCTTTGAAATCTCATTGAGAAGAAATACTGGCATCTGCTCAAAGTAATTTCTTTTTCAGTTGACAATATTATAAGTAATGTTATTGTATCATTTTCCTACTTGGACAGAGGGTGAAAATTTTGAGGAGCTTGTCTGCCAGAAATTTCTTCTTTATTTGCAAAACATTAATGAGATATTATATTTAAATGATTTTATTTAATATTAAGTGTACTTGGTGAACATGGCATAGAACATACAAAATAAAACTAATTTAAAATTATTAACTATTACATTTATAAGAAAGACTTGCTAATCATAACACTGTTCATAATGATTCTGAATAAAGCATTATTTCCTTTACTGAAAACAATTGTAGCTATAACTCAATCACCTAAATTGTCATTACTTTTATTGCTTTCTAATCGTCTTTAGCTGAAATTTTAATTTTGATTAATTTTCTTTTTCTCCATTGTTTTTGTGTGTGTGTGGAGGTAAAATATACAGAATATATAATTTGCCAATTTTTCTATTTTTACGTGTACACTTCAGTGGCATTTAAATACATGCACCATTTTACCTTCCCACCAGCATTGCAGAGGGTTTCAGTTTCTCCACATCCTGCCCAACATTTGTTTTTCTGGTTTTCTTGGTTTCTGTTTTTTGTTTGTTTTGATAATAGCATTCTAATGGGTGTGAAGTGGCATTGCATTATGGTTTTGATTTATATTTCCCTAGTGACTAGTGATGTTGAGCATCTTTTCAAGTGCTTATTGACCATTTGTATATCATCTTTGGAGGAATGTCCGTGTATATCCTTTGCCCAGTTTTGAATTGTGGTATTTGTCTTTTTGGAGTTCTCTATATAGTCTGGATATTAATTCCTTATAATGTATGTAGTTTACAAATATTGTCTCCATTCTCTGGGTTACCTTTTACTCTGTTGACAGTGGTTCTTGATGCACAAAAGTTTTTATTTCTGATGAAGTCCAGTTTGTCTGTGTTTTCTTTTGTTGCCTGTGCCTTTGATGTTCTATATAAGAAATCATTGTCAAATTCATTGTCGTGAAGCTTTTCCCATTTTCTTCTAAAAGTTTTCTAACTTTAGCTCTTACATTTAGGTCTTTGGTCTATGTTAAGTTACTTTTTGTATTTGGTGTTAGATAAGGATCCAACTTCATTTTAGCTAAAATTTTATGTATTTTAAAATTGATTATGAAAAGCATGAAATGTTTAGTTGAATAGAAAATTTTGTGCAGTGGAATTAACTGAATCTTTAAAACCTTTTTATTATGGAAATACGAAAGTAATCCCTACATAGAAGAATATAATGAGTCCCCCATGTGCCCAGGCCCCAGCATTAATTATCAATATTTTGCCAATCTCGTTTCATTTCATACACACTCCCGCACACAATTTTTCCTAGAAAATTTTAAGTAAAATCACAGATATTACATCATTTTACCCATAAGCACATAAATGTACATTTCTTAATGTGGTATGTCTTTCTCTCATCACCTGTTTTGTTCTTTACTTTTATACGTTATACTATGTCATTATCAGACCTTGTAAAATTAACAAGAATTCCTTAATATGTCATATCCAGTTAATGATTGACTCATTTCTACTCTAGTTAAAGTACAATTTAGGAGAAGGTTTGAGGATATTTTTTAACATTAAGATGTAAGCTTTTATGACAACTGCTAAAATAATTGTGGCTAGAGTCTAACATTTCTGTTGGCAAATTGGAAATTAGTATACATAGACATAGATTCTGCTCATTTTACTTTCAATCTAAAATCGTAGTTAAGATTACTGGCCAGGTGCAGTGGCTCACACCTGTAATCCTAGCACTTTGGGAGGCAGAGGCGGGTGGATCACGAGGTCAGGAGTTCAAGACCAGCCTGGCCAATGTGGTGAAACCCCGTCTCTACTAAAAATACAAAAAAAATTATTCGGGCATGGTGGCAGGCTCTTGTAACCCCAGCTACTCGGGAAGCTGAGGTGGAGAATTGTTTGAACCCAGGAGGCGGAGGTCGCAGTGAGCCAAGATCATGTCACTGCACTCCAGCCTGGGTGACAGAGCGAGACTCCGTCTCAAAAAAAAAAAAAAAGATTACTATGCTAGAAAGTCTTCCTGTAGAGGCATTTTTAAGAAACATTATGATAGGCATTGCCTCTGGAAAGCAGGCATGAATAGATGGCTGGGGTCTATCATGAGAGAGACCGTTCTCCATATATCACTTTGTACCTTCACATGTTGCCTTTTGTTTTGTTTTGGTCTTTTTTTTGAGACAGGACCTTGCTCTGTCACTCAGGCTAGAGTGCAGTGGCGTGATCATAGCTCACTATAACCTTGAACTCCTGGGCTCAAGTGATCCTCTTTCCCAGCTCCCCGAGTAGCTGGGTTTACAGGCATGCACCCCCATGCCTGGCTGTATGTTGCTATTTTGTATTTTAAAAACCTAATCCTGACTGTGCTGGTAGTCACACGAATATGTGCACATACATGCAAACAAGTACATGTAAATCTGGTGAAATTTGAATAAGCTTCATGGATTATATCAGTGTCAGTTTCCTGATTCTAACAATGTATGATACTTATGCAAGATGTCATCATTGAGACAAAGAGAGTAAAGGATATGTGAGATCTTCATATTATTTATTATGACTGCAAAATAAAAAGTTTTTAAAACTAAGTTATAATAAAAAAGAACTCTGTGTCAAAACTAAAATATAAAGTAGAAATATCAATTTTATTTTTTAGGAATCTGGTGGACAGTAACAAACTTTGGTGAAATTTCAGGAACCATAGCCATTGAAATGGATGAGGGAACCTATATACATGCACTCAACAATGGTCTTTTTACCCTGGGAGCTCCACACAAAGAAGGTTTGTCTGGAAGGGAAGATCCTGCCACAAGTGTAGATTTTAGGACATTCATTCACTTAGGCCAAACTCTAACTAGTCTCAAACATTTTCCAAAGGAATGGAACCGTTGCATTTGACTCTTCCAATTTTTTTTAATTCCTTAATATTTACCAGCCATTGGCAAGTCCCTCTTTCTAATATAAGCATTTGAAAACATTCCGTGTAGTTCCAGAAGAGTATCTTTGGAAATCAAAACAATATGAATAATTAAAATAGTAAGTGGAAGGAAAAAAGAAAACCTATTTGAGTCAAACATGTTTGAATTACTTTTTTATTCAGACCTATTACCAAAACTAACCTGGGTGCATTTAACAATTTGAAGTTTCCTCATTTTCTTTAGCCCTTTAGAGGAAGCACTAGTGAGATACGAAGTAATTAGAAGATAAAAAGCAGTATCATTTGGTCAGCAAGGCCATCCATTGAATAAATGAAAGCATTTAGCTTTTTTAAATAAGTGCTTATTTATGACTGTATTTTAAAACATAAAGAGAAGCTATCTCGAAAGTTATTAAATAAACATTATATCACCCTGTCTTACTCAGTGTATAAAATTAGCACTGTAGTTAAAAGAAGGTAAAATAGATCTTGATTCCAAAGATACAGTATTACAGTGACATCAGTATATCTGAATATTCTTACATTTAATTGCAGAAGAAAATAGCCACATTTTTAAAGCAAAATAATGTCTTTATGTTTATAGCAAATGTCAAATTTATTTTCAAATGTTTTTTCTCCAATAGTTGATGAGGGCCCTAGTCCTCCAGAGCAGTTTACGGCTGTCAAATTATCTGATTCCAGGTGAGCTTATGTTGTAATATAATTAGTAACCAGTGTTTTTAAAAATTTAATTGTATTCATTAAAAATTTTAGTATCTGTCTTAAGCCCATGGTAATTTTGATATAAAAAATGAAATAGCTTTTTTGAGAAGTAGATTTTGTGATCTACTTTTAGTGGATTTCCTATCAATATATAATGCTAGGCTGGAAAAAAGATATGTGAGTTAAAAAATGAAGATTAATAATTTCACACACCAAATAAGATAGATTAAAAAATATATCAAATGGTACAAAACCTGGTTCACTGTTGGTATGATATTTAAACTCACTGTTTGGAAGTCTAAAGACAAACAGGAAGACTAAAAAAAGGAATATTGTTGAAACCAGCAGAGAACGTTACAGTATCATAATGACCAAAAGAATATTTTTACTCACTATTGTTACAGTCATTTTATAAAGTAACCTTTTTTATTCTCACCTTGTGCAGAAATATAGAATGATTCTTTGGGTAAAAGTTACTGAAAGTGAATTTACATATTTTAGTAATTGGTTACATCAACATGATAATGATTTCTGTTATACAATCATTAACGTATAAAGGAGTAAAAGTCAATTCTGGCATCCGAGGAGATTCTTGGTAAGGTAAAAGAAATCATAATTTTAAAAAATCACGTTAAGATGATTATTCCTATTCTTTCTTTGAAAGTCTGATAAGTAGGGTGAAAGACAAAGAATAAAAGCAGAGGAAGAAAAAATTCAATAATTTTAAACTGCTTTACAATTATAAACAGAAAAGGATTATAAAGAAAATCAACTGACAAATGAGGAAAATATTTGCAACAATCTTAATAGGCAGTGAGTTCTTACTGTTCATATGTATCTTGTATAGAATTCATAGCACTGAAGACCCCAGTAGAAAAATTGCAAACAATCAGATCTGAATAGAAAAATGGACAAGGGACATTACCAGATAATCTAAAAAGTAAAAAGGAAAGGAAAAGAAAAACAATTGTTATTCTAGTTAACTACTAAAATGCAAATTAATAGGATACTTTTTTTTCATATCAGGTTTTTGAGTATTTTTTTAGAGTCATAATGTTTAAAAAAAAAAATCCATGATACAAAACATACTCTGTTAATTTGAGGTAAGAATGTAAATGGAAGCAGCATTTTCTGGAAAACAGTTTGATGACATAGTTTTAGTAATTTATTATTGAAGTTTATAACTAAAGAGGTATAATTGAAGAATGATGAATTTTGAAAATATTTGTTACATAATATATAAGGTACAATGTTTATATTAAAAAAGCAAAATATAAAACTAAATTTAAATCTGCAGTGTCCAATATGGCAACAACCAGTCACATGTAGCTTTTTTTTTTTTTTTGAAGGCACATAGTCTCACTGTGTCACCCAGGCTGGAGGGCAGTGGTGTGATCATAGCTCACTATAACCTCAAATTTCTGGGCTCAAGCACTCCTCCTGCATCAGCCTCCCAAGTAGCTGGTATTACATGTGCACACCACCATGCCCAGCTAACTTTTTAAATTTTTTGTAGAGATGGGGTCTCACTATGTTGTCTAGGCTGATCTTGAACTTCTTGCCTCAAGCAATTCTCCCATTGGCTTCCCAAAGCACAGAGATTACAGGAGTGAGTCACCACTCAGCCACATGCATCTTTTGAACACTTGGAATATGTCCAGTCTGAAATTTTAGATATGTACACACCCACACACATACACATGTCCTGTTTTGATGCCCTATAATTAATTTCCTCTCAGTTTTTAACTTTTATCTATCTTATTAATGTACAGAATCACCCTGAAATCTGGCTATGGAAAATATCTTGGTATAAATTCAGATGAACTTGTTGTTGGGCATTCAGATGCAATTGGACCAAGAGAACAATGGGAACCAGTCTTTAAAAATGTAAGTGCTGTTATTGTTTATAAAAACTCCCTGTCAATTTAACAGAAAGTCTGTAACAGTCAATCATAATATATTTAAAAAGAAAAAGTAGGATGCAATAGTATAATACATTAAATAGGAATAAATCAGTAAGAACATAGAGCCTTAAAGAGATCTCAAAATATAGTGCAACAAAAATAGCATTAGTACTTTTGCCCACAATTATTTCTGTATACCCTTAGTGCCTAGATATGGATCTCATTTCCATTGAAGAACCAGTCAATTTTAGGTCACAGAGTAGGAAAACAGAATTGTTCCTAAGTGTCTTCTTTGTAGCAGAAATCATGGATGTTTTCAGAAACATTACAGACTGTAAGCGAACAGTAGAGCTAGCTAAGACCAAGTCGTGACAATTTGCATATAAAATATAAATAATAATAGTTCATTGAAGTAAATTATCTCTAAAAGACTTTCAGTTCATAAGCTTAAAATAGTGTATGAAAAGATTTAATATGAGAAAAAAAGATAGTATACTAATTCTTAATTTTAGTAAGTAGTTGTAGTATATGGATGTTTTGTTAAATCTTTGTTGATACAGAATACATAATTTCCTTTTTCTGTGTGAGAAGTAAAGATTGAACAAAAATATGTGAGTGCTAAACTGTCTTTAAAAAGTAGATAACTATATCAAAAACAGTAAGGACCAGTGGGCATCACGCAGAACAAGCAAATAGAAGATAAGCTCAGCCTTTGAGTAGCAGCTTTGGTAGTATACAATAATGAACTGAAAATAGGAACTCAGCAGTGTTTTCTAAGATGATAGATTAAACAAACATCCCACCAGAAAGAGGTAATCACTTAGACTAATTTCCTCATCCCCTAGGATAAAATCTTAAGTCAGTGACTTGAAAAGTATTTTTACCCAATCCATTGAGAAATGCATTTTTACATTGCAGCCCAGCACACACATATGTATAACTGAAGCAAGAGTTGTACTTAACAATACTTACTTATCCATGTGTTATGCACTTTGATATTTCTTATTCTCTTTTACCCTTCCTCTGTGTGTCTGTGTGTTTTCCTTTTCCCCCCCACCCACACAATACCATTCAGGAAACACTACATTGATTTCATTACCTGCTAATGTGTTGCAACCCCTTTGAGATCATCCTACTAGTTACGATGAGATGCTTCTAATAAAAGTTACACCAGTAGAAAATGCCAATATTTCATAAGGCCAGGATGATGACTTAGATAGTACTAATAATACAACACTTTAGGAAAGTTCATTTCATTTTATTTTTAGGAAGGACACTAAGTTTCAAAAATTTAAATTTAAATGAAAGAGGGTCTTAAAACTCTCTTGCAAAAAGGACTCAGCTGAATAATCTGTGACACAGGTTTAAATCACCTTGGACCCCACCACCATGTTCCAGGGCTCACCAGGAGCCATCCAGATGAGAGAACACCCAGCCCTTGTGACTTGACTAAGAAATTAAATCGATGTTATCAGCACGTTTTTAACTGGATGTGATATAAGGTTAACATATTTTGTAATCATTGTATTTATAAATATTTTGTCTAAATGTTATGGTATTCCAAGTTTTCCAAAAGAATCAACCAAATACAAGTTATAAATAAACGTTATATTTGTTACGGGAGTTAAGCTAACCAAATTTATAACCCAGATTTAGATACACAAGAAAATCAGTTTTTAAAGTTTTGTTTAATAGAAAGCAGTGTAATACATCAAACATTAAACAACTAAAAATGTATATGAATATTTATTTTCACACACAAAAGTCCCTCAGACATTGACTCTTAAATTAAAAACACCAAAGGCATTGTATATACCTTTTCATGTTTTCTAATTGTGAAGAAAATAAATTTTACTTAAAATGCTAATATTTGAATAAAGTATGCATCCATAATTATGTTCTCATCTTTAAAGTTAATTTTTCAAACAGAACTAAATCAGTTTTATCTTCAGTAGGTCTTTTAGAAAGGAAGCAATCCTACCTCATCTAATTAGAATAGTCCTACTAGGAAGATATGCTACAAATGTTTATTGTGGTAATCTTTGAATAGTAAAATGAAAGGTGATTTTGGTTTCCTTTTCTATATGTTCTTGTATTATATTTTTCAGGTTTTTCTCTAAGTTCTTTTCTGTGATTTTTAAATCAGGGAGGAAAAATTAATTCAGTGTAAACACTTAATGTTTCTTCTACAAGAAGAATCCTCATGGCTATTTTGTTATTTTGTTTCACTTAGGGGAAAATGGCTTTCTCGGCCTCAAATAGCCGCTTTATTAGATGCAGTGCAAAAAGTAAAACAGCAGGAGAAGAAGAAATGATCAAGGTAATGATGACATTTTATACAGATGACTGCATTCACACATGCGATGTGACTGTATCTCTTTAAAATGTTAAGTCATCATTTACAGTCACTTTAAAGATTTAGTTAATGGCTTTTAATAATGTGGTGTTTCAAATAGAGTCACTTTTAATTATAAATCCCATAGTTGATGGCTTGTTTATACAATGTGGTAGAGAAATCAGTGCATCTAGGAGCTACCTTGCCATTATCTCCATGGATTAGTATCTTTTTCTGGTAGTTCCACATGCTCTTTTTAAGCTTTCATTTTCTTGTTTTCTTGTACTTTAAAATCTAATTTTTAAAATAGATAACGTGTACACATGGTCCAACATTTTTAAATAAAAGCATATGAAGATGAAGACATATGCCTGCCATGCATCTTACTCACCTGTTTCCCACCTCCTTTTCCTCTTTCCCTTTGTTTTTTTATAGCCTCCTAAAATTTCTTTATAAACATATGAATATATCTATAATTTTCAACTGTTTTACACTAAAGGCAGCCTCCTCTATAGTCTTCTCAACTTTGAATTTTTTTTCCTTAAAATTGTATCTTGGAGAGTTTTCTACTATTAGTTTGAATGTAGGAAGTTTTCTCTTTTTCTTGCTTTTCCTCTCTTTCTCTCTCTCTCTTTTTTAACAGCCACATAATATTCCATTTTAGGGATGTACCTTAATTTATTTAGTCTTTTGTAGATGGAAATTTAGGCTGTTTCCAGTCTTTTGCTCTTATAAACAGTGCTGCAGTACATAATATTGAATATGCATCAATTTGTAGATGTGCGGGTGGAACTGAAGATAAATTTCCAGAAGCAGAATTACCAGGTCGGGGTATACGCATTTGTATTTATGTAATGCTTGAGCTTCTGTGATGATAATCACTCTATGAAACATAAAAAATCATAGCAGAACTTCTGGGGCCTTAGCCCTTACATTTTAAAAATATTTTTATTAATAGTACCCGTCTTCTTTGCATTAGGAGAAACATGAATCACATAAAACATGATTTTATTTTATTTTTAAAATTTGTGTGCATCACTAAGCTGGAAATAAAAGTTCCTTATTCCAGGCTAAATTCCCTCATCCGTAGTCAGATGCGTTGGCTATTGCACCAGTAGCCTGTGGCCTCCCTAATCCTACTCTTTGTTTTACATCATTGTAAAAGTTATACAGACATCTTCATTTCAAGGTGAAATTCTAAATAATACTGTTAATATAACCTAGATTAATCAGGTAGTTAACTGGAATGTGATGAAAACATTTAAGGCTTAATTTTTTAGACTTACAAAAGCCACTGATCTTTAATGATAAACATATACCAGGATGTGTCTAAAGAATAACTCCCCCCTTCTTGACACATGGCTTTTCTGTGTCTTGGCATTCTATCGCAGTACTGAGCAGCCTGAACCTTGCTTTGTTTGTCTCTGTTGGGAATCACAGGTTGCATCCAGTCTGACCCAGGTTTGCTCTGTAAGGCATTGTGGGGGCCAGAGTGGAAGGCTCTAAGAGAGGGGGTTAAATGCCTTTTCTAAAATGCCCTTCGTTCTTATAATTAGAGCATAAAAATTAATGTTACATTTTTCTCTACTACCAGTGTAATTTAAAAGCATCTATCAATTCTCTGTACGTGCTTCATGTTAGATTTCCGGTCATATGTTTGATTTTCTTTTTAGAATAGTCTTGATTTCAGATAATTTCAAATCTAAAGCTCAAACAATTTCAATCTAAAATGTAAGTTTTTCTTACAGTTAGAGAAGTGAAATGTTATATTTTTTCGTTGCATGCATCTGGCACATGCGATGTAGTCTTGAATTTCCATAATGCTCCTGTGAGGTGGATGTGAGCTCAGCCTTACAGACAGGAAGACAGCCTCTGACCCTCCTTACATCCTCGTGGTTTTTGTCAGTCAGTTCATGGAAATCACAGTGATTTCAAGGTGTGGTAAGACAGGATGTGTACCCAGGCTCAGCTGACTCCAGAGGCCACTCTCAGTATTTCATAGCACATTGCTTCTCAGGAAACAGGTCATTGAGGAAATACAGATGGGTTTGTGATTACATTTAATTTTATTTATTTATATTTTATTGTATCATGTGTAAATTATTTTTCATCTGGATATCATCACAAAAGTGTTATTGAAGGCAACAATTGCAAGTATATGTGCAGTGCTTTGCACTTATACAAAGATACAAAGATACTTACACAAAGATTGCGTTTTTCACTATTTAAAGCAATTTTCAGATGAAATACAAAGTTTTCTGGGTCTCTTTGTTTAGTTAAGTACTTGGAAGCTCTGAACAGTGATTATTTAGGACTCTTTTCATACCATTCAATTGCAGGCTCTCCTAATCTCTGTCAGCCCTTCACCTTTATGACCTTGCCTTATCTACCAGAACATAGATCCCTCTTACTAAAAGTAGCATTGTGTTACAGGCCCTAGCAGGGAATGTTTTCAGGTCTGGGACCCCTCTAATCAAAACTGTCACAAAGATGTCATTGGCACAAACACGTTATTTGTCATCACTTTCTAAGCAGCCCTGGAACTGGACTCTGGCCACAGAGATCATTTAGGAGATATGAGTCCTTACCATTGCCAATTGCCTGTTCTGTGGATGATCCTAATTGTTGAATGCAGATCAATTAACTTATGACATGTGATAGTAAATATCTGTCCAAACTTAGGAGAATATAAGAAGCCAGTAAAAGAGGTGGGTTCCAATTAATTAAAAACAAGTTGTGAAATGTTAAAAGTTTTAATACTTTGATAATAGTCTGTGCAATGTAAAATAGCTATTAAGCTTTCAGTCTGATCAAATGAACACTTGTCTACTAGGGATAATTTGATCCTAGTGTATTCACTTGGAGGACAAAATTAAATGAATGATTTCTTTATTGCCTAGCAGGATCTGATGTGTAAAATGTTTCTGAAATAATTTTGTCTGTAGTGTTTCTGACACAAGGGCTGTGGAGGAAGCATGTGATAGCACTTACTCATATAGATTATATATATGAATTAAAAACGCATAGCCAGAACCTGTCTTTTTCTGAATATAGTTGCTCAGTTTTTTCTTCTGCATAAGAAATCATCTCGAATATTCTTATGTGATACGTAAAGTGGGGAAGGTGGAAGATAAACATATAACCCATTGGATTCTCTTTTCCAATATCTAGATTAGATCCTGTGCTGAAAGAGAAACCAAGGAAAAAGATGACATTCCAGAAGAAGACAAAGGAAATATAAAACAATGTGAAATCAATTACGTGTGTGTATTCTTTTCCTTTTAGACCTACAGATTTGACAGTGAAGTGCTTCTCAAAGTGCTTTCAAAATAAATTACCTAATTAGCTGGGGATGGTGGTGCATGCCTGTAGGCCCAGCTACTTGGGAGGCTGAGACAGGAGGATTGTTTGAGCCCAGGAGTTCAAGGCTGCAGTGAGCTCTGATCACCACTGCATTCCAGCCTGGGAGATAGAGCAAGATCCCGTCTGAAAAAATAAAAACTGATGGACAAGAAGAGGCAACACGATGTAGCCTATAGGACAGAGCACTGAGCTAAATTCTTTTCTTTTCTTGAGGGTTCAGTTTTCCTAATCATCCTACCAGCTCCCAAAGCTACTCAGTCGGGTTAGTCAACCTCTCCATTCATAGAATGGGCGTGATGCCAGGCAAAGGCTGTTCTCTGGCCAGGACACAGGGGACTCCAGCCAGCATGCCCTAATAGAAGTGGGGCCTTGTGCTACCCAGTCAATGAGTGGCCCTCCTCTTGAGAGGTCACAAAGTTCATCTTGTTGTTCAAAAACTCCACCTTATTAAAAAAAATACAATTAGACTTTTTTTTTCTCCCCCAAGACGGAGTCTCGCTCTGTCCCGCAGAATGGAGTGCAGTGCCATGATCTCGGCTCATCGCAACCTCCACCTCCCAAGTTCATGTGATTCTCCTGCCTCAGCCTCCCGAGTAGCTGGGACTACAGGCGCAAGCCACTGCCCTCGGCCAATTTTTGTATTTTTAGTAGAGACGGGGTTTCACCATGTTGGCCAGGCTGTTCTCGAACTCCTGACCTCGAGTGATCTGCCTGCCTTGGCCTCCCAAAGTGCTGGGATTGCAGGCGTGAGCCACTGCACCTGGCCTACAATTAGACTTTTTTAATAAGTGAAAAAGAAATTAACAGTATTTATATATTTAGTAGTAAATATGTATAATCAGAGTTTGAGGTATTTTTCAATGAAGACATTTTCTTTGCAGAAAGAAATTTCAGAGCTTCCAAGACCACAAACTTAAAATAAGTAAAGAATACAGTAAAATTCTTAAAAAGGCTCAGAAAGATGGATTTTTGCATGAAACGCTTCTGGACAGGTAGCTATTTACTTATTTTCACTATCTTCAGTAGCCAATAGAAATGGCATGTAGAAAACCTATATTGTCTTAAATTACTGTAGTTTTCACATTTTTGTCTTTATTTATAATTTATGAGTGTGGCAGTATTACCTAGAGAGCACATCATGAGTTTGGGAAAAGACTGTCAAGAAAGAATATCTAAAAATTATAACCGATTCTAAGTATATACTTTAAGAAATTCAGGTTTGACTGTATCTACTTCATAAATTTATCATTATCTTTTTATAACTATTAGAATCAGAGTTAGAAAGAAGCAGTTTGACTAATACAAAAATTATGTGGATTCTGTTAGAGTAGTTCAGGTTCCTTAAAATAAGCATATATCAACTAAAAAGCTAGGTATAAAAGCTAAATAAGTGAAATTGAAGCAGTTTTATTGCAAGATTTGGAAGAGTGCAGGATGTTTATCATAGCACATTATTAATATTTATTACTCTTCCTATGTAGATAAGTGATGTCCTAGATTTACAACATAGAAAAACAGGTAGAGTCGTTTAGCTGTGAGTGTACAAGTATAAATCAATTAAGTGCCAGATTTTGATAATCACCAGCTGCTCATTCAAGTCCTATGTTGCAAAGTTACTCTTACCCTTTTTTTACATTACTTGATAAAGGCAATGTTTAATTACATATTTCCTGTTAACTAGCTGGTAGAGTTCATACCTAAAGTCAGTAAATAATGTTAAGAATTTTTTCCAGCTGAGCAAATGAATATGTATCTAGTTGTAAGAAATCAAGAAGAGGATATAAAATATAATCAGGATATGGACTCTAAAACGGAATAAGCTCTATGTCCTGTAACTTTTTTCACTTGTAATAATACAGCATTCTCACCCTGTTAAATGGAAATCTAGAGCACCCTTAAATTCCAGAATAATTAAAATTGCTATTTGGATTGAAAAGCCCTTGGGCAACATTTATTGAATATTAGGAAATAACTTTTATAAGATTAGAATCCATTTTTTATGGAAACCAAATTTAAAAGTATACATGTTTTAATATAAGTGTTGTGGTAATACAATAACCAAAATTGAACACACAGTTTTAAAGCTTTTTATATTTAGTAGCAGTTGAATACATATGGCATGTTTTACATAGATTAATTTTACTATTTTTCTTTATTTAAACAAGAGAACCAAATTGAAAGCTGACAGATACTGTAGATGACTGGGATTTTTGTCTCTGTCTTATCTTTTTGTGTTTTTTTTTCTGAATGAAATATTCAGAGGAAATGCTTTTACAGAGTTCTTGAGTTGTTGTGAAATTATTGTTTAGCTAGTAGCTAGTATAACCAGGATTAAACAAGTTTAATCAGGATTCTTCATGGATGTACTTTTTAGCTAACTACAGTTTTTCACATGGAAATGAAACTTACAGTACACATTTAACGTACCACAGAATTTTTTTCTGGATTTCCTGTCCTGAAGCATGAAGTGTACTAGAAACCAATTCTTCCTGCGCTACTTGTGGAATCTTTCTTAATGGATCATAGTCTTACTTTACTTTAAACAATAGATGCTTAAGCAGTGCCTTTCATAGGAAGTTAGAAACTCCCAATCCAATCAACAAGGCTTTGATTCTACCTCCTAAGTACTATCCAGATCACAGACAATCCAAATATCAGAACTAGGGGGCTGGACAGAGAGGACAAATCATCTATTAGGGAGTGGGACAGAAAGTGGAAACATTACAAAGGAGCAAGTAGGCTCAGAACAGAGGGGAGAGTAGTACTGGGGAAACTCCCTACTGAGGACAGGTTTGCCACAGTGGGTATGTATGTGATGCTTTTGTCCTCGTGGGCTGGAATGGAAGCTGATAAAGAAGTTCAGACGCTACGTGTTGCTTAGGTCTGCTTTGTTGAAGCCTGTCTCTTTCAGAGTTCCTAAACACAATATTCCCGTGGCATCTAATCCCAGTGAGTGCTCCAAATCCAGGCTGTGTATCAGATGCCACGGGAAATTCTGCCTCAAGACTGAGGTTGGTTCAAGCATCCGGATGATGTCAAAAGTCCACGTTGTGTGCTGGCCTAACCTGAAAGACCCTATCTAGTTCTAGCCTTAAATTCCTTCTGTCACCAAATCTAGAGTTACATGGCATCTGTACAAGCTAGGTAGCTGAGGCATGGGATCAGCCCTATAAAGGAGCTTTTGGAGCTTTTGTTGTAGGTCTAGCTTCAACTTGACACTCCAGTTCCAATAGCTGGACTTTCTCTCATTGTGTGTTCTGATCTTTGGATTGGGAACAAAGTAACCACTCTGATCCCACAAAGCAGTGGTTCCGGTTCCCAACTGGTGACTATTTTGCCTCCGAGGGGACATTTTTGGTTTTCCCAACTGGAATACGGTGTTAGAGAGTAGAGGCTAGGGATGCTGCGAAGCATGCGGCAGAATCCTGTTCTGCCCAGAATGTTAACAGTGTCAAGGTTATGGAGCCTTCCCACCCAAGGGCTTGGTGTATTCCTTGCTTTTGCCAGCTCCCTAACCCTTAAACACAACAGCTGTATGCATAAGCATCTCCTAGGAACATGCACATTTCCAATATCGACTACTGAGACCCATCCGTAGAGATGCAGGCTTAGGAGGTCTAGGATTGGGCTCAAAATTTGCATTTTAACAAGTACTCCAGGTCATTCTGAGCAAGTGATACAAACCACAGAATGAGGAACACCGCCTTCAAGAGACTGAATCTTGCTTCACAACACTAGCTTGGTACCTGAGACCATCTGCCTGCTGACTGGCTTTCCTGGCACAAACATTCTGCATGTAGGCACAGTGTGTTCCTGGACTCCATGTCAACCCGTTCACCCTCATGTTCCCTTGGTTCCTGTCCCCAGTCCAGCGAGCAGAACTGATTACAGATCTTGACAACAGAAGATACAGATTTAAAATAACTTGCCTGTTCCCGTGGACTTTATCCACTAGTGAAGCAGGACAAGTGGACAAGGGGAGAGGGTAGGTGTGGGCTCCTTCCCTATTCCTCCCATTCCACTTTATACAAACCCCAGCTAGACCACTGGGAGAGCAACGGAGGTTAAGAATGGCTGCATCTAAATATTGTCATCTGGTCCACTCTTCTTCCATCTTGTACACAAGTATATGAGTTTTGTTTAAAGCACTACTGAAACCAAGATAAACTCTGGCTTAGCATGCCCCTGACGGATCAGTCTAGTAATCTTATCAGAACCAAGATTACCTAAAACATTAACCAAAGGAAAAGCTCCCTCACCCCAACCTATGACTGCCCACATTTTTCAGATTGAATCATTTCAATTGTATTTTAAGGTTCATTGACTCTTTTCCACCTCCAAGCTGCTCCTGAACACAGATTATTATTTTTTAATTTTGAAAACTTTCTCACTTCTAGAATTTCCACTTGAGCCTGTTATTATTGTAGTTTCTTCTTCTCTGCTGTGATTTCCTATCCATTTATTTTAAGGGTTTTTGGGGTTTTGATTTTAGTAAGAATTACAATAACTAACTACTTTAAAAATCCACACTAATTCCAACATCTGGGTCATCTCGAGGTTAGTCTCTATTGATTGCCTTTTTCTTTGAATATGTTTCTTTATATGTTTGATATAATGGGATTGAATTCTGAAGATTTTAAAACTAGATTTTGTTTTGTTCCTCTGAATATTTTGATAATTTTTTGTTGTATTTGTTGTATTTTGTTTGATTTTTTTTCTATTGTATACTTTACAATATATTTTCCTCCAATGGTTTTAACATTTCTATTTCTGAAAATATTTATGTTTATGTTAAAAATTATACAAAGTAACTTGGTACAGTGGCTTCCATCTGTAATCCCAGAACTTTTAGAGGCCAAGGCAGGAGGGTCACTCGAGCCCAGGAGCTGGAAACCAGCCTAGACAACAGGGCAAGACCCTGTCTCCACAAAAAATTATTAGGGTGGTGCAAAAAGTAATTGCTGGTTTTGCCATTACTTTCAATGGCAAAACCCACAATTACTCTTGCACCAACCTGATAAAAAATAAGCTGGGTATGGTGGTGGCGTGTGCCTGTGGTCTCAGCTATTTGGGAAGTGAAGGCAGAGGCGGGAGGATTGCTTGAGCCCAGGAGTTCCAGACCAGCCGGAGACCCTGTCTCTATGAGAAAAAAAAAAAAAAATTAGCTGGGCCCACGTACCTGTGGTACTAGCTACTTGGGAGGCAAAGGCAGAGGTGCCAGAATCACTTGAGCCCAGAAGTTCAAGTCTGCAGGGCACTGTGATTGTGCCACTGCACTCCAGCCTGGGTGATGGAGCACGACCCTGACTCCAAATAATAATAATAATTACAAAAAGGAAAGACCTAGAACACCAGGTTAGGGTTAAGTATTCTAAAATTTAGCTGACTTACTCTGTTCTCTATAAAACAGGTTGCCACAGAAAATATAGCATGCCCAGTTAATTTGAAATTTCAGATAAACAAATACTTTTTTCAGTGTAAGTATATCCCATACAATATTTGGGACATGCTTATACTAAAATATTATTCCTTATTTATCTGAAATTGAAATTTAACTGGGTATTACATAATTAGAGCAGCCTGACCATAAAAGATATGTAGGCTGAGCAAAATTCTACTTTAAACTTTAAGCTTTATAATAAATGCATTATTAATCAAGAACTATTATTTACTGAGACCTGTGTAGATCCCCATATTTATCTTTTTAAATGTGGAACTAGGAAAGAACATTTATAGAAATAAATGACTGTTCTATAGCTGAAAGGAAAACTCTAGCTTTTATTTTTCTCCCCATACTTAAGCTTTATTCTACATTTGTATAAACAATAAAATTACAGCTCAACTTTGGAAGCACAGATCATAATATAAAAATAAAGCAAAGATCCCAGAAACATTTAACAGGCAACAAATCTTTCACATCATCTTACTATAGCAACTATACATATAATAACTTAGAATGATCCGTTAATTATAAGTAAAGAATAAATTCTTTTACAAAGCATAACTATTAATATTATTGACCATCATAAGAGCAAATATTTTAAGTAAAACACCATGAATACTTTACAGAAAGGAGCGAGTTGCAGATACAGTCATTCTTGGATTTCTTTCAACACCAGGCTTTCTTCCCTTTTGACCTGAACTGGGAGTTGAATATTTCCTCTCTGCCCTCTGACCCTCTAGTCTCTGAAGTATCTTTTGTACTAGAGGTATGTGCAGAGACTTCCTGGAAATTTGGATTTGTAAATTGTGCTGTTGTATCTTCTAGGCACTGAGTGATCCAGATATAGAGCTGTTGCTCTTGCTTGTATAAGTGTAACATTTTGATTCAAAAAAGGAAGTAAAAGGAAGACAGTTGATTACATTTGGCTACTGACATTAATAATAATAAATAATATTTGTACTTGTAATATAAACATCTGAAAGTTTTAGTTCTAAGAATGGCTGTCCACATAAGAAAATTATGTAAAAATAATTAATGTCTATTATAATTTCTTTAACCAAAGAAAAAGTATGATTTAAAGATGGCTCTTTAAGGATCAAATTGCAGCAATTGGTAAAAGTAGATATTAGTCATATTTATTAAGTGACACACAGTGATACTGAAGGCACTTATTTCTCAAGAAACATCATTTTTTCCCAAAAAGAACATATTACATCCTAAATATGAAATGAAAATAAGCTTTAATTTTCACCACAGGAGGGCGACAATCAGAGAACTGAGGTAGTACAGATCCATTAGAGGACCATATCCATGAGTCTATCAGTCTCTACTGTAGGACAGAGCAAGAATTTTTTAAAGAATCTCGGTGAAGGCTCCTTTTCAAAAAAATACAAAGATTAAAGCCTTTGAAACGTAAATTATTTTTTCCAGTTATTACATTGAGGACAAAGTTATATTGCAAAGTTAAGATTTTTATAACTATCCCTAAAATTGATTCTCAGTGACTCCCTTGATCTACATATGTTAAGGAAAAAGGCAAGATGAAGATGTGTTAAATATTTTCCAGTTTTTAATAATCAGTTTTAATATAAGGTATACCCAAATGATGGTTAATTAAATGACAATGAAAGTATGTTATAGCAGATGCTCACTCATCAACATGCCTTGAAATTAAAGGTTTATAAGGTGCATAAGGGCAAAGTTTTTGACGTTGCCATTACATTCACAAAAGTATCTGAGGCACGTACAGCATGAAGTTCACTAAGATCTTGCAACATAACAAGCACTAAATTTTGTTGAATAAATACATGAATACTTTTGTATAGCATCTGTTCAAAATCTCTGATGTAAAAATGAAAATAATCTGAAAGTATGCAAAACTGAAATTTCCCACATACGACTGCCAATTCGTACAAACAATAAGATGAATTTCAAAATGAGAACATGACAATAAAATCAAGTTTCAAAACGCCTGGCCTTTTTTTTTTTTAGCAAAACCCATGTTCAAAAAAAGGAATAAGACATCAAATGTTTTGAGAACCAAAATTTTACTGCTGCTTTTCTAACACTCTGTTGTTAACCTGAGCCCCCATCCTCTTACTGTCAATAACAGATTTTCACCATCAAATACAAGAAACAGGCAGGGCACGGTGGCTTACACCTGTAATCCCAGCACTTTGGGAGGCTGAGGTGGGTGGATCACTTGAGGTCAGGAGTTTGAGACAAGCCTGGCCAACATGGTGAAACCTCTTCTCTACTAAAAATACAAAAATTATCTGGGTGTGGTGGCAGGCGCCTGTAATCCCAGCTAATCAGGAGGCTGAGGCAGGAGAATCGCTTGAACCTGGGAGGTGGAGGGTGCAGTGAACTGAGATCGAGCAACTGTACTCCAGCCTGGGCGACAGAGCAAGACTCTTCCTTAAAAAAAATAAATACACAACATAACAATCTCTGGGACACATTCAAAGCAGTGTGTAGAGGGAAATTTATAGCACTAAATGCCCACAAGAGAAAGCAAGAAAGATCCAAAATTGACAACCTAACATCACAATTAAAAGAACTAGAAAAGCAAGAGCAAACACATTCAAAAGCTAGCAGAAGGCAAGAAATAACTAATATCAGAGAAGAACTGAAGGAAATAGAGATACATAAAACCCTTCAAAAAATTAATGAATCCAGGAGCTGGTTTTTTGAAAATATCAACAAAATCGATAGACTGCTAGCAAGACTAATAAAGAAGAAAAGAGAGAAGAATCAAATAGGTGCAATAAAAAATGATAAAGGGGATATCACCACCGATCTCACAGAAATACAAACTACCATCAGAGAATACTACAAACACCTCTAGGCAAATAAACCAGAAAATCTAGAAGAAATGGATAAATTCCTCGACACATACACCCTCCCAAGACTAAACATGAAAGAAGTTGAATCTCTGAATAGACCAATAACAGGCTCTGAAATTGTGGCAATTATCAATAGCTTACCATCCAAAAAAAGTCCAGGACCAGATGGATTCACAGCTGAATTCTACCAGAGGTACAAGGAGGAGTTGGTACCATTCCTTCTGATACTATTCCATTCAATAGAAAAAGAGGGAATCCTCCCTAACTCATTTTATGAGGCCAGCATCATCCTGATAACAAAGCCTGGCAGAGACACAACTAAAAAAGAGGATTTTAGACCAATATCCTTGATGAACATTGATGCAAACATTCTCAATAAAATACTGGCAAACCAAATCCAGCAGCACATCAAAAAGCTTATCCACCATGATCAAGTGGGCTTCATCCCTGGGATGCAAGGCTGGTTCAACATACGCAAATCAATAAATGTAATCTAGCATATAAACAGAACCAAAGACAAAAACCACATGATTATCTCAATAGATGCAGAAAAGGCCTTTGACAAAATTCAACAACACTTCATGCTAAAAACTCTCAATAAATTAGGTATTGATAGGACATATCTCGTAATAATAATAGTTATCTATGACAAACCCACAGCCAGTATCATACTGAATAGACAAAAACTGGAAGCATTCCCTTTGAAAACTGGCACAAACAGGGATTCTCTCTCTCACCACTCCTATTCAACATAGTGTTGGAAGTTCTGGCCAGGGCAATCAGGAAGGAGAAGGGAATAAAAGGTATTCAATTAGGAAAAGAGGAAGTCAAATTGTCCCTGTTTGCAGATGACATGATTGTATATCTAGAAAGCCCCATTATCTCAGCCTAAAATCTCCTTAAGCTGATAAGCAACTTCAGCAAAGTCTCAGGATACAAAATCAATGTGCAAAAATCACAAGCATTCTTATACACCAATAACAGACAGACAGAGAGCCAAATCATGAGGGAACTCCCATTCACAATTGCTTCAAAGAGAATAAAATACCTAGGAATCCAACTCACAAGGGATGTGAAGGACCTCTTCAAGGAGAACTACAAACCATTGCTCAATGAAATAAAAGAGGATACAAACAAATGGAAGAACATTCCATGCTCATGGGTAGGAAGAATCAATATCATGAAAATGGCCATACTGCCCAAGGTAATTTATAGATTCAATGCCATCCCCATCAAGATACCACTGACTTTCTTCACAGAATTGTAAAAAACTAGTTTAAAGGTCATGTGGAACCAAAAAGGACCCCGCATTGCCAAGTCAATCCTAAGCCAAAAGAACAAAGCAGGAGGCATCATGCTACCTGACTTCAAACTATACTACAAGGCTACAGTAACCAAAACAGCATGGTACTGGTACCAAAACAGAGACATAGTTCAGTGGAACAGAACAGAGCCCTCAGAAATAATGCCACTTATCTACAACCATCTGATCTTTGACAAACATGACAAAAACAAGCAATGGGGAAAGGATTCCCTATTTAATAAATGGTGCTGGGAAAACTGGATAGCCATATGTAGAAAGCTGAACCTGGATCCCTTCCTTCCACCTTATACAAAAATTAATTCAAGATGGATTAAAGACTTACATGTTAGACCTAAAACCATAAAAACCCTAGAAGAAAACCTAGGCAATACCATTCAAGACATAGGCATGGGCAAGGACTTCATGTCTAAAACACCAAAAGCAATGGTAACAAAAGCCAAAATTGACAAATGGGATCTAATTAAACTAAAGAGCTTCTGCACAGCAAAAGAAACTACCATCAGAGTGAACAGGCAACCTGCAGAATGGGAGAAAATTTTTGCAACCTACTCATCTGACAAAGGGTTAATATCCAGAATCTACAATGAACTCAAACAAATTGACAAAAAAACAAAACAAAACAAAAAAAATCAAAAAGTGGGCAAAGGATATGAACAGACACTTCTCAAAAGAAGACATTTATGCAGCCAAAAAACACATGAAAAAATGCTCATCATCACTGGCCATCAGAGAAATGCAAATCAAAACCACAATGAGATATCATCTCACACCGGTTAAAATGGCAGTCATTAAAAAGTCAGGAAACAACAGGTGCTGGAGAGGATGTGGAGAAATAGGATCACTTTTACACTGTTGGTGGGACTGTAAACTAGTTCACCCATTGTGGAAGTCAGTGTGGTGATTCGTCAGGGATCTAGAACTAGAAATACCATTTGACCCAGCCATCCCATTACTGGGTATATACCCAAAGGACTATAAATCATGCTGCTATAAAGACACATGCACACATATGTTTATTGTGGCAGTATTCACAATAGCAAAGACTTGGAACCAACCCAAATGTCCAACAATGATAGACTGGATTAAGAAAATGTGGCACATATACACCATGGAATACTATGCAGCCATAAAAAATGATGAGTTCCTGTCCTTTGTAGGGACATGGATGAAGCTGGAAACCATCATTCTCAGCAAACCATCACAAGGACAAAAAACCAAACACCACATTTTGTCACTCATAGGTGGGAATTGAACAATGAGAACACATGGACAAAGGAAGGGGAACATCACTCTCTGGGGACTGTTGTGGGGTGGGGGGAGGGGGGAGAGATAGCATTAGGAGATATACCTAATGCTAAATGACGAGTTAATGGGTGCAGGACACCAGCATGGCACATGTATACATATGTAACAAACCTGCACGTTTTGCACATGTACCCTAAAAAACTATAATAAAAAAAATTAAAAGTCAAGAAACAATAGATGCTGGCAAGGCTGTGGAGAAATAAACACTTTTACACTGTTGGTAGGAATGTTAATTAGTTCAATCATTGTGGAAGACAGTTTGGCAATTCTGCAAGGATCTAGAACCAGAAATACCATCTGACCCAGAAATCCCATTACTGGGTATATAGCCAAAGGTCTATAAATCATTCTATTATAAAGATGCATGCATGCGTATGTTTATAGCGGCACTATTCCCATTAGGAAAAACATGGAATCAATCCAAATGCCCATCAGTGATAGACTGGATAAAGAAAATGTGGTACATACACGCCATGCAGTACTGTGCAGCCATAAAAAGGAATGAGATCATGCCTTTTGCAGGGTCATGAATGAATCTGGAAACCATCATCTTCAGCAAACTAATACAGGAAAAGACCAAACACCACATGTTCTCACTCATAAGTGGGAGCTGAATAATGAGAACACCTGGACACAGGGAGGGGAAGAACACACACTGGGGCCTGTCAGTGGGGACGGGGAGGGAGAGCATCAGGATAAATAGCTAACGCATGTGGGGCTTAATACGTAGGCACCTAGGCGGTGGGTTGATAGGTACAGCAAATCATCACAGTGCACGTTTACCTACGTAACAAACCTGCATCTCCTGCACATGTATCCTGGAACTTAAAATAAAATTTAAAAAAAATAAAAAGAAAACAGAAGAGTACTGAAAATTGGCTCACAGTTCCACAGCCTGTACAGCAAGCATGATGCTGACATCTGCTCAGCTTCTGGGGAGGCCTCAGGAAACTTAACAATCATGGTGGAAGGGAAAGCAAGAGCAGGAGGAAGAGAGAGAGGGGGAAGGTCCTACACACTTTAAACAACAAGATCTCATGAGAACACTATCACAAGAGCAGCGCTAGGGGGATTATGCTTATCCATTAGAAACTGCTCCCATGGACCAGCCACCTCCCAGCAGGCCCCATCTCCGACAGTGGGAACCACTGGAAGCTGCTCCCATGGACCAGCCACCTTCCAGCAGGCCCCTTCTCCGACACTGGGAACCACTGGAAACTGCTCCCATGGACCAGCCACCTCCCAGCAGGCCCCGTCTCTGACACTGGGGATTACATTTCTATAGAAGTTTCCAATAATTTTGGAACACATACTAATAACATATTTATAAAAATACAGTCCAAAGTAGACCAAACACCATTCACTCTTCTATTTGAAAGTTTTCCCTCTATTCTAATATCACAATCTCCAGCGTCATTAATCAGAATCCTGCATTTAAGGGCATCTATTAAATTTTATAGCTGATTATAAAACCATCATTTAAAGAGGACCAAAATGAGACAACAATTGTCTGTGGATGATAAAAACATTAAGGGCAGCCACAGTTAAACACACGAACAACAGCCTTTAAAGTAGAATTTGCTGTAGAGCCTATTATGAGGGAGATACTTTTAGTTATTACCTCTTTTATTCTAAACCATGGAAAAAGGAACTATCAAATTAAGTCCTTCTAGAAGAGTGAAGGGCTCCTGGCAATGTTTTCTTTAATCCATGATGTGGGATAAAGGGAGTTTTGACTGATTATGAGACAATGTATATACCACTAAAGTTTCAACACCCTAATAGGGAAAAAAGGGGGGGAGAGAAGTCCTGGAAGAACCAGATGGAGCCATAGCAGAAGATGATTTCAATCCACTGACCCCTGAATTGTGGGCTGGTTGTGCTGCATCGCTCTGTGACTTATGGTTCTGCTGCAACAAAGATCTAATTCCCAGGGTTATAGGAAAAGACACCTGCGGTACCCCTGAGGCACAGAGAAGGGATAAATCCAAATCTGACTTAAGTCTAGGGTTCTTAAACCACACAATCTGCTCACAAGGAGGACCTTAACTCTGAAGACACTGATTTGGGGCTGTTTCAAAGAAAGAAATTATAAATATGAGTGGGAAAGAGAACAACCTTCCCCATATCCAGCAGCAAAAAAATGAGGGAAAGGGAAGGAAGGAAGGAGGGAAGGAAGGAGAGAGGGAAGGAAGGAAGGAAGTAGGGAGGGAGGTAGGGATGGAAGGAAGGAAGGAAGGAGAGAGGGAAGGAAGGAATGAAGGAAGGAAGAGAGGAAAGGAGGGCAGGAAGGAAGGAAAGAAGGAAGAGAGGGAAGGAAGGAAGGAGGGAGGGAGGGAAGGAAGGAAGGAGAGAGGGAAGGAAGGAGAGAGGGAAGGAAGGAGGGAAGGAAGGAAGGAAAGAGGGAAGGAGAAGGAAGGCAGGAAGGAAGGAAGGGGAGAAGGAAGGAAGGAAGGAAGGAAGGAAGGAAAGATGGAAAGAAGGAAGGAAGGAAGGAAGGAAGGGAAGGAACTTGGATATGCAGAAAAACAAAATTTAAATTAAAACGGAAGTTTATCATCTGACCTAATTGGAAATGTACTATTTTCTAAAACAATTTATACAGTCCAAAGATAAAAGTGTGCTGATTGGTATTTGTAACTCTCCAGCATATATTCTGAATCAATTTTAACATCTGCTGAAATCTACCAATTGGCATACCTTCACAAACTTAATCAATACTGGAGCTCAAACTTTGTTATACCTGAGATTTCACTAAATTTAAACATTGCACCCCCTAATCCTAGCAGAGTAACTGCATATAGAATAGAGGACACATAGTTATGCCTCACATTTTTTACCTTGACTAAACTTCCCGTAGTCGTAGAAGCCTTTGTCCATAGAGGACCTGGATGCTCTGACCTAATGAGTAACAAATTGATATTAAATCATTTGCACTTACACATTGACTTCACCAAATGTAACATTACAGAACTCCCTCTCCTGTTTTTTTTTAAATTTGATTTATTTTTAATTTTTCATTTTTTTAGAGATGAGGTTTTGCTCCATTACCCCGGCTGAATGAAGTGTGGTGGCACAATCATAGCTCACTGCTGCCTTGAACTCCTGGGCTCAAGCAATCCTCCCATTTTAGCTTTCCAAGTAGCTGGGATTACAGGCATGCACCAACACAGCCAATTAAAAAAAATTATAGAAGTGGAGTCTTGCTATGTTGCTTAGGCTGGTCTCTAACTTCTGGCCTCAAGCAATCCTCCTGCCTCGGCCTACCAAAGTGCTGGTATTACAGGTGTGGGCCATCGTGCCCAGCCTCCCCATCTTGATAAATTAGCAAATATGGTCCAACATAAATTACAACATGACTTCAAATAAATAAAACGTATTATATAAGACCTAATTAATTAGTGAAGGGGTGATAATTCCCATTGCTTCAACGTTTAGCAGTAGAATTTGGCCTGTTCTTAAACCTGCAAATAATAAATGGTGTTTCACAGTGGATTGCTGTAATGTAACTGCAGTGCTCCCATGTATTAAGGCCCTCGTACCCAATGCCTAATATTGTGGTTAATTTTTTTTTTATTTCAATAGGTTTTTGGGGAATATGATGGGATTCTTTTATTTCAATAGGTTTTTGGGAAACAGGTGGTGTTTGGTTACAGGAATAAGTTCTTTAGTGGCGATTTCTGAGATTTGTGGTGCACCTATCACCCAAGCAGTGTACACTGTACCCAATGTGTAGTGTTTCATCCCTCACTGCACCCACCCCACCACTCCCAGCCTTTCCTTGAGTCCCCGAAGACCATTGTATCATTCTTATGCCTTTACATCCTCATAGCTTAGCTCTCACTTATGAATGAGAACACACAATGTTTGGTTTTCCATTCCTAAGTTGCTTCACTTAGAATAATGGTGTCCAGTTTCATCCAGGTTGCTATGAATGCATTATTTCATTCCATCTTATGGCTGAGTAGTATTCCATGTGGTAAATATTTATACCACATTTTATTTATCCACTTACTGATTGATGGGCATTTAGGCTGGTTTCAAATTCTTCCAATTGCATATTGTGCTGCTATAAACATGCGTGTGCAAGTATCTTTTTCATATAATCATTTATTTTCCTCTGAATAGGTACCCAGGAGTGGAATTACTGGATCAAATGATAGATCTGCTTTTAGTTCTTTGGAAATCTCCTCACTGCTTTCCATAGCTGTTGTACTAGCTTACATTCCCTCCAAAAAGTGTAAAAGTGTTCCCTTTTTACCACATCCATGCCAACATCTATTAGTTTTTGATTTTTTGATTATGACCATTCTTGCAGGAGTGAAGGGGTATCATATTGTATTGTGGTTTTGATTTGCATTTCCCAGATAATTAGTTATGTTGAGCATTTTTTCATGTGTTTGTTGGCCAGTTGCTTATCTTCTTTTGAGAATTGTCTGTTCATGTCCTTAGCCCACTTTTTGACGGGATGTTTTTCTTGCTGGTTTGTTTGAGTTCCTTGCAGATTCTGGGTATTAGTCCTTTAATCAGAAGTACAGATTGCAAAGATTTTCTCCCACTCTGTAGGTTATCTGTTTACTCTGCTGATTATTTCTCTTACTGCGCAGAAGCCTTTGAGTTTAATTAAGTCTCATCTATTTATCTTTGTTTTAGTTGCTTTTGCTTTTTGGGTTATTGGTCATGAAGTCTTTGCCTAAGCCAATGTCTAGAAGGCTTTTTCCAATGTTGTCTTCTAGAATTTTTATGGTTTCAGATATTAGATTTAAGTCCTTGATCCATCTTGAGTTGATTTTTGAATAGGGTGAGAAATGAGCATCCACTTTCATTCTTCTATGTGTGGCTTGCCATTTATCTCAGCACCATTTGTTGAATAGGGTATTCTTTCTCTGCTTTATGTTTTTGTTTGTTTTGTTGAAGATTAGATGACTGTAAGTATTTGGCTTTATTTCTGGGTTCTCTATTATGTTCCATTGATCTATATGGCTATTTTTATACCAGTACCATGCTGTTTTGGTATTTGTTCTTTTTGCTTAGTCTTGCTTTGGCTATACAGACTCTTTTTTGGTTCTAGGCTTTTATTGCCTTAAGGTATGTCCCTTCTATATCTTTTTTAGTTCCATGTGAATTTTTGTAGTTCTGTGAAGACTGATGTTGGTACTTTAATGGGGATTGCATTGAGTTTGTAGATTGCTTTTGGCAGTATGGTATTTTCACAATATTGATTTTACCCATCCGTGAGCATGGGATATGTTTCCATTTGTTTGTATCTATGATTTGTATCAGCAGTGTTTTATAGTTTTCCTTGTAGAGGTCTTTTGTCTCTTCGGTTAAGTATTCCGGATATAATTAAGATTTTTCTGCAAAGATTGCATGCAATTGACAATTATAGGAATATACTATTATAATTATAGGAATTATAATATTCCTAAGGTTTCTATTGCAGCTATTGTAAAAGGGGGCGAGTTTTTTATATAATTCTCAGCTCGTTCACTATTACTGTATAGCAGAGCCACTGACTTGTGTACATTAATTTTGTATCCTGAAACTTTGCTGAATTCATTTACCAGTTCTAGTAGCTTTTGGGATGAGTCTTTAGGGTTTTTTAGGTATACGATCATGTCATCAGCAAAGAGTGACAGTTCGATTTCCTCTTTACCGATTTGGATGCCCTTTATTTCTCTTATCTGATTGTTCTGGCAAGGACTTCTAGTACTGTGTTGAATAGAAGTGGTGAAAGTTGACATCATTGTCTTGTTCCAGTTCTCAGGGGGAATGCTTTCAACTTTTCCCCATTCCATATAATGTTGGCTGTGTGTTTGTCATATATGGCTTTTATTACCTTAAGGTATGTCCCTTCGATGTTGATTTTGCTGAGGGTTTTAATCACAAAGGGATTCTGGATTTTGTCAAATGTTTTTTCTATGTCAATTTTGCTGAGGGTTTTAGGCATAAAGGGATGCTGGATTTTGTCAAATCCTTTTTCTGCATGTATTGAGATGATCATGTGATTTTTGTTTTTAATTCTGTTTATATGGTGTATCACATTTATTGACTTGCAGATATTTAACCATCCTGCAACCCTGATTTGTCTTCAGATC